>NC_000007.14:62026104-62326104 GCF_000001405.40 Homo sapiens | reverse complement strand
AGAGTGCACTAAGATAACATGCTATTAAAATACATTTTTAAACTTAGTCACTAAAACTGAGCAGTACTGATTTGGAGTACTGGAATTTAGGTTTATGGGATCTCAAAAGCACAGAGCTCAAAGGAGACCCCTGTATGCATGAGAGCTTAGGAAGTGCTTTAGAAGGCATTACCAAACCATGGGCAAAGTTACTTTAGTGTCTTAGTCTTACTAGGTTTGAAAAGCCAGAGAAAATACTCAAGAACATCATATAAGAGCAAAACAAAAGGACAGGGAGAGAATGTGAAGATACCGATACATTTTACATAAAGTTGTATAAAACATCCTTTAAAAAAAATATAAAGTTTAGGATATACATCAAAATCAGCAGAGCAACTAAATAAATAAATAGGCATTTTAAAATAGCAAGAGAAAATTTAAATGGATTTCTAAAAAATATTGACACCTATGGTTTTTAAAATATGTTTAAGAAATCCCGTATTTCACAGGGCAGCCTTTCACAACACAGATATGTTAGGACATAAAGGTCCTTCTGTTTTTAATTTACTAGTGTTTATAGGGTTACAAATGTCTTCTATCCTTGTCTTTTGTCTGATGGTGCAAAACATTTTCATCAGCATGTGTTTCTGAATGCCTGATGGATTGACATATATAATAAGCTGCTAATATTAAAATATATGACATAAAACGCATCCAATATTCTCACTGTTTACATAAATTCTAGGTTTCTCCTATTTACCTCAAGCACGTATGGAGCGAATTCTTACCTTTTAATATTGCCATGGCATTCACATTGAACATAAGTTGAACTCTCTCATATGGTAGCTGGGTTCGGATTCCCTTGAAAATTTCCAGTTCTAACCCTCACAGTTCCTCAGTGTGGCTGGCCCAGATATTGACCCTATACAGTTGCCTCCTCCTGGTGACTACCAGCTATGGAACCGTTGGATACAACCTACCTAACTCACCCCACAGACCTCAGAGTGCACATGGACAGCCCCCACACGCCACAGTGACCTGCTCAATTGCAGCGGGAGTCGAGAAATGTGCCTGCTGGCACTCTCCCCACCGACTAGTGCCCCGTGGTAAACTTATTTGGATAATGTTCTGGGCCCAATAAAGGCTGGAGTCCCACAGACCCCTCTTCTCTCTCCTGCTCCCCACTCATTTTCCCAATTTTGTTCAGCCCTATGAGGTGTGCTACTGTATTAGTCCATTTTCACACCACCGGTAAAGAAATGCCCAAGTCTTGGTAATTTCCAGAAGAAAGAGGTTTAATAGATTCACAGTTCCACATGGCTGGGTAGGCCTCACAATCATGGTGCAAGCTGAAAGGCACGTCTCACATGACAGCAGACAAGACAAGAGAGCTTGTGCAGGAAACTTTCCTTTATAAAACCATCAGATCTTGTGAGACTTATTCACTATCAGAAGAACAGCATGGGAAAGATCTGCCCTCATGATGCAATTACCTCCCACCTGTTCCCTCCTACAACATGTGGGAATTCAAGATGAGACTTGGCTGGGGACACAGCTAAACCCTCTTCTCAGCTACACTCTTCTCTCTGGATCTGTGAGTAATAAACCTACTTCTGTGATTTCCCATGTTTGGTTCTGTGGCCTCCATGTGTCTGAGCTGACCTACACTGGAACCTAACTCTCCTCCTGGCCAGGGTCTCTGAGAGTGGCTCTTGTCAGAAATACACAGGACACCGGTCAGGCAACAGTCACCAGGCATCTCCTAGTCTCAATAGATGTTCTGTGAGAGGGAGACCTGGTCGTGGGATGCACACCTGGCCACTGCTGGGGTGAGGAAGTGTCCTGTGAAAGGCACATGTTAAGCATCCACAACCTCCTGACCAGAACCCCAGAAAGGCAGAGCTCCAATTGACAGTCACTCTCCAGAGACAAACCTCAAGCCCTAACTGCAAGAAAAGAAAACAATGTAAAAAGTTGAATTTATCCTACTATTTCAATGATCCAGTAAAGACATTCTATGCCTGTACACCACATATTTTCTTTGATTTTGGATTTATTTTAGATAGAATTTTAGGTCTGGCTTTCACTTTAGCCTGGTCCCTACCTCAAGCATAAGGTAAAGATTTTCCATGCATTCTTTTCTGGTACTTCTACCTGCCAGTGTGGGGTCATGTCCTAGTCTACCTTGAGGGAATCCCCCTGTTCATTATTGTCAGAGTGAGACTGTTAAGTCTTGATTTCCCTGGACAACTTCACTGCATGACTTTTTATATGATTTTTTAATATACCCTTTACTGGACAATAAATTTTATAGTTATCTGAGAAAGAGATATGGTCAGGAAGAGGCATTGCTTCATTCAGCTTTTCTCTTTGGTGAACTCGCTTATGTTCTCCTCAACCGCCAGTCACCTCTAAACCGTATTGTTCCAAGACAACAAACAGAACTCGATTGTGTATCTTTCACCACTGGATTTGTGTTCGCTCCATAAAGCTTCATGCTTAATAGGGTTTCTGTTAGCATTTTCTCTATTTATTTTCCCATAAAATATCACAGGCCTTCTTCATATGGAATTATGGGTGATTTCCCTCAATCTTCATCATATCAAGTTTAGGTTCATGTTGATGAAAAGTAAAGCATACGTTGAAAATATCAGTAATGATGTTTTCCCTTCCTTTTTAGCACCTGTGCTTGTAATACAAGCACATTTTCATACAATTGTGGTCCCATGCTTTGATCATTCCTATGATGAAAATAACATTTTTAGATAAAATATCTGAGTTTCATGAGGCCTTTAGTATGTGATGTGATAGAATATCAGAAGAACATACTTTTTTCTAGTTGTCCTTGCAATTATATCATTATTTCATCTTTACTCCTACCAGAGTAATTTTGCAAAATAGATATCTTGTCATTCTTCCTGTTGTTATCAGTAAATAAGTGAAATGAAAAGCTAGATTATATAATTTATCTATAACAAGAAAGTAGAATTGAATCTATATTCATTAATGAGACTAACCAGTCAATTACACAGATAGACATTTTTTATTTTGAAGATCATATGGACCCATTGTCAGAAATATTATTATTTATATCTATATGGACATCACCTGTACACATTTACATAGAAATCAATGAGAGCTGATTTTTATTTTTATTATATATATTTTTTGAGATAGGTTCTTGCTTTGTTGCCCAGGCTGGAGTGCAGTGGTGCAATCACTGCTCACTGCAGCCTCAGCCTCCCAAGGTCTAGCAATCCTTCCACCTTGGCCTCCCAAATAGCTAGGACAATAGGTGCACACCACCTTGCCCACTTTTTTTTTATTATACTTATGTTTTAGGGTACATGTGCACATTGTGCAGGTTAGTTACATATGCATACATGTGCCATGCTGGTGCGCTGCACCCACTAAGTCATCGTCTAGCATTAGGTATATCTCCCAATGCTATCCCTCCACCCTCTCCGATCCCACAACAGTCCCCAGAGTGTGATATTCCCCTTCCTGTGTACATGTTATCTCATTGTTTAATTTCCACCTATGAGTGAGAATATGCGGTGTTTGGTTTTTTGTTCTTGTGATAGTTTACTGAGAATGATGATTTCCAATTTCATCCATGTCCCTACAAAGGACATGAACTCATCATTTTTTATGGCTGCATAGCATTCCATGGTGTATATGTGCCACATTTTCTTAATCCAGTCTATCATTGTTGGACATTTGGGTTGGTTCCAACTCTTTGCTATTGTGAATAATGCCACAATAAACATACGTGTGCATGTGTCTTTATAGCAGCATGATTTATAGTCCTTTGGGTATATACACGGTAATGGGACGGCTGGGTCAAATGGTATTTCCAGTTTTAGATCCCTGAGGAATCGCCACACTGTCTTCCAGAATGGTTGAACTAGTTTACAGTCCCACCAACCGTGAGAAAAACAAGCAATGGGGAAAGGATTCCCTATTTAATAAATGGTGCTGGGAAAACTGGCTAGCCACATGTAGAAAGCTGAAAGTGGATCCCTTCCTTACACCTTATACAAAAATCAATTCAAGATGGATTAAAGACTTAAACGTTAGACCTAAAACCATAAAAGCCCTAGAAGAAAACCTAGACATTACCATTCAGGACATAGGCATGGGCAAGGACTTCATGTCTAAAACACCAAAAGCAATGGCAACAAAAGACAAAATTGACAAATGGGATCTAATTAAACTAAAGAGCTTCTGCACAGCAAAAGAAACTACCATCAGAGTGAACAGGCAACCTACAAAATGTGAGAAAATTTTCGAAACCTACTCATGTGACAAAGGGCTAATATCCAGAATGTACAATGAACTCAAACAAATTTACAAGAAAAAAACAAACAACCCCATCAAAAAGTGGGTGAAGGACATGAACAGACACTTCTCAAAAGAAGACATTTATGCAGCCAAAAAACACATGAAAAAGTGCTCATCATCACTGGCCATCAGAGAAATGCAAATCAAAACCACAATGAGACACCATCTCACACCACTTAGCATGGCAATCATTAAAATGTCAGGAAACAACAGGTGCTGGAGAGGATGTGGAGAAATAGGAACACTTTTTTTTTTAAATTTTGATAGAGACTGGGTCTTGCTATGTTGCCCAGGTTGCTTGTGAACTCCTGGGCTCAAGGAATCCTTTCATTTCAGCCTCTTCAACTGCTGGTATTACAAGCATGAACCACCATATGTGCTGGAAGCTGATTTTTACAATACTGACATCATATAGATGACAGCACCTGAAAAATAGACAACACCAAGCTTTATGTTAAAAGGTGTGAGGGTGTCAATATTGTTGCGGCTATTGGGGAGGAAACCATTAGTAAAACCACTAAGTTAACGCTCTTGCTTTAAACTTTGGCTTTAATTTAGCAAATGTTCTATGGAGTGACAGTATGTATGTAACCATGCTATGCCCATTCACAGATGCAGTAGAGGGAAGAATTTCTCAAAGACAACTGTTCTAAGACTCAAATTAAACCGTACTGGGTTTGAAAAGAGAAAGTCCAGGAATTACCAAATATTTTAGATATCAGATACAAGAGAATGCCAGGTATGCGATGATAATCAGCAATGGTTGTTCACACAATACATCGAATCAGTATTTGAATTAGCTGTTGAATTACAAGGACAAATGGATCAATTCTAGACTCTTTAGTAGATAAATCTTATTAGGCTGAGATGTGTTTTCCCCTGTTTTTCCACAAGGAGATTACAAATTTGCAAACCTCAGCTGCTCTCATTTTATGCTCTCACCAAGCCAAATGCTGAAGTTCATCAATCAGTGTGTCTAAGTGTTCACTGGTTATATACCATTTTGTAGTGTCAGCTATCTTTCCAACGTCCTAAATCATCACCTTCATTTGATCTTGTTTTTTTCCACTATCACTTCTTTATTGACCATATAAAGAATATAAGTAAGTTCTTATTTTGTTATTGTTCATTTTAGTCTAATTTCATCAAAAGATCACAGTCTTTTAATTTCATTTTAATTTCAAAGATTAAATGAAACCTACATAGAAATGAGTGTAAGATTTGCATTTGCATTATTTTGGCATCAATTTGCTATCCTCCGTCATGCACATAGAGATCATTTCCATGTACGTGATTTCAAACATCCAAGTGCAGTATTAAATGCAGTTGTAAATTATGGTTCTCATTTTCATGATACAATTACAATATGAACTTCCTCTTGCTGCTGTAACCAATTACCACAAACTTCATATCTTACAATAAAGTGACCGTTAATCCTCGTAGTTCGGAAGCCTTAAATGAAACTCACAGGGCTAACATCAAGTTTTGGGCAGGGCTGCAGTCTTTCTGAGGGCTATTTGGCAGAATCTATTACTTGATTTTTTTCAGCATCCAGAGGCCACCTTTATTCTTTGGAACATGTCCTCATTCTTAGATGTTATATTTCTTTTTTTTTTTTTTTTTGAGATGGAGTCTCCTCCTGTCACCCAGGCTGGAGTGCAGTGGCATGATCTCATCTCACTGCAACCTCTGCCTCCCAGGTTCAAGTGATTCTTCTGCCTCAGGTTCCTGAGCAGGTTGGACTACAGACACTTGCCACCACGTCCAGTTAATTTTTTGTATTTTTAGTAGGGATGGGGTTTGGCCATGTTTGCCAGGATGGTCTCAATCTCCTGACCTCGTGATAAACCCACCCTAGCCTCCCAAAGTGCTGGGATTAGGCGTGAGCCACCGCACTCGGTCCTCATTCTTGTATCTTAAAAGTCAGTGATGTTGAGTAATTTCTCATGTCACCACCTCAAAGGTTGCCTTTCTTCTGCCTTCTTCTTTCACTTATAAGGAAGTTTGTGATTTCATTGATCCCACCCATTTAAGACAATCTCTTTATCATTTTTCCGCAACCTTAATTTCACTTGAAATCTAATTTCACACTGCCATGCAACCTAACATATTTGTATGTTAGACTCTGGGAATTAGGACATGAAAATTTTTGGGCGGCCATTCTTTTGCCTACAGCAGACATAATCTATTTACCTGCAGATTAAAGCGTTCTTTATTTTTATGTCTCCCTCTCTTAATTGTTTTAAAATAATATGAGTTGCATTAAAAAGAAAGAAAGAAAAGAAAACAAAGAAAAAGAAGGAAGGAAAGAAGGAAGGAAATAAAGAAAGAAGAAATAAAAGAAGGAGGAAATGAGGGAAGGAAGGGAGGGAGGGAGGAAGGGAGAAAGGCAGGAAGGGAGAAAACAGAAAGCATGAACAGAAGAAAGAAAGAAGGAAATAAAGAAAGAAAGAAAGAAAGAAAGAAAGAGAAAGAAAGAGAGAAAGAGAGAAAGAAAGAAAGGAGGAGGGGAGGAAGGGAGGAAGGAAAGGAGGAAGAGAGAATGGTAAAAGGGAGGAAGGCACGGAAACAAAGAAAAGAAACAGGCGAAGGAAGGAAGGAAAAAGGGGAAAGGAAGGGAGGGAGGAAGGGAGAAATGGATGGTGGGAGGAAGGAAGAATAAAGGAAAGAAAGCAAGAACGTGAGAAAGAAAGAAAGAATATGAGAAAAGAAGGAAGAAAAGGGAGGGAGAAAGGAAGAGAGGGAGGAGGGAACAAGAATAAGAGGAAAGAAAGAAAGAAGGAAAGAAGGAAGGAAGGAGAAAAAAGAAAGAAAAGAAAGAAAGGAAAAGAAAAAAGAAAAGAAAAGGAGGAGGAAAAGAAGAAAGGAAAGAAGAAGGCAAGGGAAGGGAAGAGAAGAGAAAGGAAGATGGAAAGAAGGAAGGAAGAACGCAAATATTAGAAATTCTGGGTTTGTTAGAGAATATGGCATACTGTTTTTTTTTCACTTGAAAGGAAAGAGTATCTGCCATTGAAGATTGGATGTCTTGATGATATTGTTCATCTTATCTTCCACATGATTACTGAGTTTGTGACTAGTCTTTCCATTACTAAGACAAAAGTGTTGAAGTCTGCAAATATAATTTTGGATTTTTCTAGTTCACCTTTGATTTCTTTCCTGTTTTACCTCATGTATTTGGAGGTTCTGTTGTTAGCTGCATACCCTAATTAGTAGGATGTTTACATCTTCTTGAGAATTGATTGATTATTCTATTATCTATTATTTCTCATCTCTGATACTATTTCTTGTTCCGAACTCTGTTGTGTCTAATATCAATGTAGTCCTTCCACAGCCTTATTTTAGTGTTTCCATGATATGGCTTTCTCCATATCTTGATGATAACCTATTTATATCTCTATATATTTGGAGCAAGATATAAAATTTAGACTTGATTTTTTAAAGATTTTTCAAGATGTAATTCTTATTTCTTTTGGTTCTATTTGACATTCTCTGAGTTTCCTATATTTGAAGTTTGATTTTCTGTCACTCCTTTTAGAATATTTTTGGCAGTTATTTTGAAAAATATTTCTTTGGCTCCATTATTTTTCCCTCTTTTCTTTTTGGGATTTCAATCATAACTAGAGTAGGTAATTTCATCTCAGTCTTATGCAGGTACTTTTTCTCAGGGTCTCAGGAATGTAGCCTTCTCACACCTCTGTTCTTTTTCTGGCTGTGTTGGTGAGCTCAGTGATATTCCTCTTTCACCTTCAAGAGCAGTTTTGTTTTGTTTTTCCTGTTTTCATACTCCCAGCATCAGGAGTATTCTAAGTGTGGCAGTTTTTGTTGCCTTCCCCTACATATTAAGTGGAACATCTTGGTCTATTTGGACTCTTATAACAAAATAACATAAACTGAGTGACTAAAAAGCAACAGATATATCCTTTTTTCACACTTCTTGAGGCTGTAAAATCTCAGGTCAAGATGCTCACAAATTCAGTGTTGATGAGAGCCCATTTCATGGTTCATAGATCGTGCCTTCTTTCTAAGTCCTCACATAGTGGAAGGCACACTAGAACTCCATTGAGCTTCTTTTATAAAGGCACTAATCCCATTCATAAGGGCTCGGCCCCCAAGACCTGGTCACCTCCCAAGTGTTCTGCTCTCCCTGATCTGTGTCATATACAGTCTCTCTTGGATTCCTTACCAATTGCTTGAGAGAAAGCAGTGGGTTTGTGGGGAAAAAATTTTCAAGATGATGGATCTTTCCCTACTTCTGCAGCTGTCAGCAGTCTCCCCATCTCACCAGCCCCACTTTGTCTTTAGGAATTTATTGATTATTCCAGCTTTACTTGTCATAGTGGTGTCTATTTGCATCTGTCCTATGTAAGTGCATCTGTCCTTTTTCTCCTTGCATGTGCAGGTACTCAGGAGTACACTGTTGTTACTAATTACTCAGTATTGGTTGGTACATTGTCAAAGATCAAACAACATTTTTAAAGATAAAAAAAATTCTTGGAGGTTGTGTAATGAAGGGTTAATTCTGCAGACATGGCTTTCCAAAACCTTGTGCATTCCAAAGGTCTTCAGGACTGGCCCTAGACAAGCTCCTGGGAGATGATAACCTATGAGCCCTTGGTATATGTTGCCTGATGAGAGTCTTTGTATACCTGAAAACGTGGGTCATATCAAATAGCTGATGCTAACAACGTGATTTCTTGTGAGCACCTGTTTCTGTATGCCTATGACTTTGTGTAATGCCATATTAATATGACCTCTCTTAGGGCATAGGGAGGTTGGGAATTAAGTAGCTAAGTTCAGTCACAGGACGCTCGATGCATATGTGGTGGAATCCTAATAAAAACCCTGGACTCAAGGCTGACTGAGCTTCCTTAGTTGGCAACAAGTTCACACATGTTGTCTCACACCATTATGAAGAAAATTAGTCAGTGTGAAGTCCCCACTATGAAAGTACACCTGTAAGCTCACATCTGGTTTGTCCTGGACTCAACTTTATGTGCTTTTATGCTTCTGATTATTTTAATCTGGTTTCTTTCACTGTTAGAAATTATAACCACAAAAAAATCAGCTTTCTTGGGTTATGTGAGTCATTAAACCAAAGAGGGACTTGGGGACCCCCAAGAAAATGTGTATATATTCTTAAAAAGAAAAAGAAAACTGGCTATAGCAGATATTGCTGATGACTTGTCTTCTATGTCCTGGACTCAATGTGTTCACCTGAAATTCACCTGTTTCCAGCTAACTGAGAGCTCCTCACATCATGCCTGTCTTTCTGATTTTTGGGCCTGCCTGCAAGCTTCTTGAGGCTAACCAGTGCTTCTCAACCACACATAGGAGCAAAGGAGTTAGGGGTGGAGAGTTAATGATTCTAAGGCAATCCTTAAGCAATAAGAGATGGGGATTCCAGAATCCCCATCTCTTTTTAAAGTTATTTTGACACAGTCGCAATACCTCCATCATTACTGAGCACATAGCAGTAACTACTCATTCACACTGGCTTCGTGTTCTGTTTCATTTTCTCCACTTCTGTGCTTTCTCACTCAATTTCTGATTAAAGTATCTGACCCCAGATATTTGCTTCATAGTCTATTTTTGAGGGAATACAGAGCCAAGACAATAACAATGGGAGCTTTGCAATGAGGGAGGGTGAGTATAATCATCAGAAGTTTACCTACCTCACTGGGAACATGAAGGTCTGGAGAGCTTGCTGTTTCAATGAGAGAAACATGTTGAATCTCAGTTCTATATATATATGTGCAATAAGACGTGCCCTTTACTTATATCAAAGGAAAGTGCTCTTTACCTCTTTTGTTGTTGTGTTTTTATCACTTTGGCCTACACAAGCAGAATATCATACCCAGGATTTAAAGCCCTCTCTGCAGGATTTTCAAGCTCATGTTTTTATCATAAGTCACTCTGCTTCCATGTGTTTTCAATCTAATCCTCATTCCTCTGCTTTTACCCCAGAGAATTCATCACTGACTTATTTTTGACTGACCTCCTTATAGAGCTGTCAAGTACACAATTTCTGTTGTGACCTTTCTCTTAGAGTTCAGTCATATAGCCTCTCACTAGATATCATTTTCTCTTATCTTTCTTAATAATGAATTGTCAGTTAAATCTCAGTATTTTTAAGATTCACCTTACCATCTGCACACACACACATACCATTATTGGTGTATTCTCATAGCTTCGAAACACTAATGTCATGTTGATGTCTGCCTTTTCTTTCTCTACTAACTCGTTCCTCATCCTTAGATTATTCTAAAAGATTCAATTAGATCAAGTTGGCTAATTATATTTTTAAGATCCTCTCTACCCTTCCTAACATTTCGTTTAACAAAATTTAAAAATTTCTGGCAGGAGACTGTTGAAATCCACATGGATGACTGTGGTTTTACTATTTTACCTTTCAGTTTTAATAGATTTTCTATTGTGCATTTTGAAGTAATGCTGTTGTGTGCATAAATATTTCTTATTTACATGACTTCTTGATGTGTTTTCCCCTTTGTCATTTTGAAATGTTATTCTTCATCCCCAGTGATATTTCCTGTTCTGATGTCTACTTTGCTCATCACAGTTTTAGGGGGTTTTGGTTTGTTTGTTTTTCTATTTTTTGGTTCAAGTAAGTTTCTTATAATTCTGTTCAATTCCATTTGATGATTCCATTTGATTCCACTCGAGGATTCCACGCGATTCCATTCGATGATGATTCCATTCGAGTCAATTCAATGATTCCATTCGAGTCCATTCGATGTTTCCATTCCATTCCAGTCGATGATGATTCCATTAGAGTCCATTTGATGATTCAATTCGATTCCATTCGATTCCATTCAATGATGATTCCATTAGGGTCCATTCGATGATTCCATTCGAGTCCATTTGATGATTCCATCCAATTCCATTCAATGATGACACAATTCGAGTCCCTTCATTGATTCCATTAAATTCCATTCTATGATGACTGCATTCGGTTCCATTCGACGAAGATTCCAACGGATTCCATTCGATTTCTCCATTCGATTCCATTCCTTGCTGATTCCACTCAATTCCATTAGATGATGACTCCACTAGATTCCATTCGATGATGATTTCAGAAGATTCTATTCGATGATGATCCAATTCGATTCTATTCAATGATGATTCTATTCGATTACATTCAATAATTTCATTCGATTCCATTCGAAGATTCGATTCGATTCCATTCGATGGTGATTCCATTCATGTCCAATCGATTATTCCATTCGATTCCATTCGATGATGATTCTATTCTTCTCCATTAGATGATTCCACACGATTCCATTCGATGATGATTCTATTTTAGTCAATTCGATGATTCCATTCGATTCCATTTGATGATGACTCCATCGCATTCAATTCATTGGTGATTCCGTTAAATTCCATTCATTGACTCCATTCCATTCCATTCGACAATTATTCCATTCGATTCCATTCAATGATTCCACTCAATTCCACTTGATGATTCTATTCGATTCCATTTAATGATTCCATTCGATTCCATTCAATGATGGTTCCATTTGATTCCATTCGAGGATGATTCCAATCGAGTCCATTCGATGACTCCATTCGAGTCCATTCGATGATGATTTCATGCAATTTCATTCAATGATTCTGTTCGATGATGATTCAATTCTATTACATTAGATCATTCCATTCAATTCCAGTCAATGATGGTTCCATTCGATTCCATTCGATGATGATTACATTTGATTCCATTCGATTATTATTCCATTCAATTTCATTCGATGATTCTACTCGATTCCATTCGATGATGATTCAATTATATTCCATTCGATGATGATTCCATTCGATTCCAAAGTCTGATTATTCCATTCAATTACACTCGATGATGATTTCATTCGATTTCATTCAATGATTCTATTTGATTCCATTTGATGATGATGCAATTCTATTCCATTGGATGATTCCATTCGATTCCATTCAGTGATGGTTCCATTCAATTCCATTCGAGGATGATTCCATTCGATTGCATTCGATGAAGATTTCAATCGAGTTAATTCGTAGATTCCATTTGATACCATTTGGTGATGATTCCATTTGAGTCCATTAGATGATTCCATTCCATTCCATTCGATGATGATTCCATTCGATGCCATTCGATGATTCCATTCAAGTCCATTCCATGATTCCATTAAATTCCTTTTGACAATGATTCCATTCGAGTCCATTTGATGATTCAATTCGATTCCATTTGATGAAGATTCCATTAGAGTCCATTCAAAGATTCCATATGATGATGATTCCACTCGAGTCCATTTGATTATTCCCTTAGATTCCATTTATTGATGATGCTATTCGTTGCCATTCGATGATTCCATTGGACTCCATTCGATGATGTTTCCATTCAAGTCCATTTGATGATTCCTCTTGAGTCCATTCAATGACACCATTCGATTCAATTTGATGAAGATTCCATTAGAGTCCATTCGATGATGATTCCATTCAAGTCCATTCAATGATTCCATTCGGTTCCATTTGATGATGATTCCATGGGATTCCATTCAATGAATCCATTCGATTCCACTTGATGATTCCATTTGATTCCATTTGATGATGATTCCATTCGATTGTCTTAACTGATGATTTCAATAGATTCTATTCGATGATGATTCCATTCGACTCCAATCGATGGTGATTCCATTCGATTTCATTCGATGCTTTCATTCAATTCCTTTCGATGATGATTCTATTTGATTCCATTCGACGATTCCATTTGATGTCATTCAATGATGATTCCATTTTATTCCATTCGATGATCCCATTCAATTCCATTCAATGATGATTCCATTCAAGTGCATTCGATCATTCCTATCGATTCCACTCCATTATGATTCCATTCAAGTCCATCCGATTACTCTATTCGAGTCCATTCTATAATGATTCTGTTCTAGTCCATTTTATGATTCTATTCAAGTCCTTTCGATGATTCCATTCGATTCCATTCGATGAGGATTCCATTCGAGTCCATTCGATGCTTCCATTCGATTCCTTTTGATGATTCCATTTGAGTCCAATTGATGATTCCATTGAATTCCATTTGATGATGATTCTGTACGATTCCATTCCATGATGATTCCATGTGATTCCATTCCATGATGATTCATTTCGATTCCATTCGATTATGATTCATTTCGAGTTCATTCAATGATTCCAAACGTTTCCATTCGATGATGATTCCATTCGAGTCCATTTGATGAATCCATTTGAAATCATTTGATGAGGATTCCATTCATTGGTGATTCCGTTCAGTTCCATTCAATGATTCCATTCCATTCCATTCGACAATGATTCCATTAGTTTCCATTCGATGATTCCACTTGATTCCATTTGACAATGATTCCATTCGATTCCCTTCATTGCTGATTCCATTCAATTCCATTCAATGATTCCATTCCATTCCATTCGACAATGATTCCATTAGATTCCATTCGATGATTCCACTTGATTCCATTTACGATGATTCCATTCAATTCCATTCGATGATTCCAATCAATTCTATTCGATGATATTTACATTTGATTCCATTCAACAATGATTGCCTTTGATTCCATTCAATGATTCCATTCGGTTCTGTTCGAAGATGATTCCGTTCGATTCCATTTGATGATTCCATTTGATTCCATTGGATGATTCCATTCGATTACATTTGATGATTATTCCATTCGATTGCATTTGATGATTCCATTCGAGTCCATTCAATGACTACCTTCGTGTACATTTGATGATTCCATTCAATTCCATTCGATGATGATTCCATTAGAGTCCATTTGATGATTCCATTGGAGTGCATTTGATAATTCCATTCGAGTCCATTCGATGATTTCATTTTATTCGTTTGATGATTCCATTCGAGTCCCTTTGATCATTCCATTCGAGTCCATTCGATGATTCCATTTGAAGATGATCACATTCGATTCCATACGATGATGATTCCCTTTGAGTCCATTCGATGATTTCATTCGATTCAATTTGAAGATGATTCCATTCGAGTCCATTCAATGATTCCATTCTATTCCATTTGATGATGATTCCTTTCAACTCCATTCAATCATTCAATTCAAGTCCATTCAGTAATTGCTTTGGATTCCATTCGATGATGATTACACTTGATTCCATTCGATGATGATTAGATTTGATACCTTTCTATGATTCCAATCAATTCCATGCAATGTTGATTCAAGTCAATTCCGTTTGATTTTTCTATTCTTTTACATTCAATGATGATTATATTCTATTACATTCAATGTTTCTGGTTGAGTATATTTGATGATGATTCCATTCGATTCCATTCGATGATTCCATTAGATTCCTTTCAATGATGATTCAATTCAATTCCATTCAATGATGATTGCATTGTGTCCATTCGATTATTCCATTCAATTCCATTCAATGATGATTACATTCTAGTCCATTTGATGATTCCATTCGATTCCATTCGATGATGATTCCATTATTCGATGATTCCACTTGATTCCATTCAATGACTCCGTTCGATCCCATTTGATGATTCCCTTTAATTCCATTCAATGATCATTCCATTTGATTCAATTCGGTGATTCCTTTCGATTGTATTCAATGATGATTCCATTTGACTCCATTCGATGGTGATTCCATTAGATTCCATTCGATTATGATTTCATTCAATTCCTTTAGATGATGATTCCATTTGAGTCCATTCGTTGACTCCATTCGATTCCATTCGATGATGATTCCACTCAAGTCATTTGATGATTCCTTTCGAGTCCATTCGATGATTCCATTCAATTCCATTTGATGATGATTCCATTCAATGCCATTTGACGATTCCATTCGATTCCATTCAACAATGATTCCATTCGTGTCCATTCGATTATTCCATTCGATTCCATTTGATTATGATTCCTTTCGAGCCCATTCGGTGAGTCCATTCAATTCCATTCTATGATGATTCCCTTCTAATCCATTTGATAATTCCATTTGATTCCATTCGGTGATGACTGCATTCGGTTCCATCTGATGATGATTCTAATGGATTTCATTCGATTTCTCCATTTGATTCCATTCGTTGATGATTCCATTCTTTTCCATTTGATGATGATTCCATTATATTCCATTCGATGATGATTCCATTCGATTCCATTCAATGACGATTCCATTCGATTCCATTCAATGATGATTCCATTGGATTCTATTCGATGATTCCATTCGATTCCATTCGATGGTGATCCCATTCGGGTCCATTCAATGATTCCATTAGATTCCATTCGATGGTGATTCCATTCGGGTCCGTTCGATGATTCCATTTGATTCCATTCGATGATGATTCCATTCAAGTACATTCAATGATTCCATTCAAGTCTATTCGAAGATTATTTTCAATTCCATTTGATGATTCCATTCGAGTCCATTCAATGATTCCATTGAGGTCCATTTGACGTTTCCTTTTGATTCCACTCGATGTTGATTCCACTTGAGTCCATTCGATTATTCCATTCGAGTGCATTCCATGATTTCATTCGACTCCATTCGATGATATTTCCATTCGAGTCCATTCGATGATTCCATTTGATTTCATTCAGTGATGATTCCATTCAATTCCATTCAATGATTCCGTTCAAGTGCATTCAATGATTACATTCGAGTCCATTAAATGATTCCATTCGTTTCCATTAGATGATGACTCCATTCGAGTCCATTCAATGATGATTCCCTTCAATTCCATTCAATGATACCATTGGATTCTATTCTTTGTTTTATTTCTATTCGTTTTGGCGATGATTCCATTTGATTTAAACTGATGATCCCATTCGATTCTATTTGATAATGATTCCATTCCATTCCATTTGATGAAAATTCCATTTGAGTCCATTCGATGATTCCATTCAATTCATTTGATGATTATTCCATTAGATTCCATTTGATGATGATTCCATTCGATTTCATTCGGTGATGATTCCATGCATTTCCATTCGTTAATGACCCCTTTTGGTTCCATTCGATGACGATTCCGTTCGGTTCCATTCGATGATGATTCCTTCGGATTCCATTCAATAATGATTCCATTCCACTACATTTGATGTTAATTCATTTAGATTCCATTAGATGATGATTCCATTTGATTCCATTCGATGATTCCATTCGATTCCATTCGATGATGATTCCATTTGTTTCCATTCGATGATTTCTTTCTATTCTATTCGATGATGATTCCATTCGATTCCATTCGATGATGATTGCTTTCGATTCCATTCGATGATGATTCCGAGCAATTCCATTCGATGATTCCATTTGATTCCCTTGGATAATGATTACACTCATGTCCATTCGATGATTCCATTTGAGTCCTATCAATGATTCCATTCATTTCCATTCAATGATTCCATTAGAGTCCGTTCGATCATTCTGTTAGAGTCCGTGCGATGATGATTCCATTGGAGTGCATTCGATGATTCCATTCGAGTCCATTTGATAATTCCATTTGAATCCATTCGATGATTGCTTTCAACTCCATTCGACGATGATTCCATTTGAGTCAATTCGATGATTCCATTTGATTCCATTCAACGATGATTCCATTCGTGTCCATTCAGTGATTCCAATCAATTTCATTCGATGATGATTCCTTTTGAATCCATTCAATGATTCCATTCAATTCCATTCGATGATGATTCCATTCGAGTTCATTTACGGATTCCCTTTCATTCCAATCGATGATGATTCCATTCGAGTCCTTTCAGTGATTCCATTTGTTTACATCAGATGATGATTCCATTCGAGTCCATTTGATGATTACATTTGATTCCATTTGATGACGATTCCATTCAGGTCCATTAGATAATTCCATTTGATTCCATTCGATGATGATTCCATTAGAGCCATTCGATGATTCTATTCGAATCCATTTGTTGATTGCTTTCGATTATATTCGATTATGATTCCATTCAATGATTCCATTTGATTCCATTCGATGATGATTCCATTCGAGCCCATTCAATGATTCCATTCAATTCCATTCGCTGATGATTGCATTCGAGTGTATTCGATGATTCCATTCGATTCCATTGGATGATGATTCCATTTGACGTCATTCAATGATTCCATTCGTTTTCATTCAATTATGATTCCATTCAATTCCATTAGATGATTCCATTTGATTCCATTCGATCATGATCCCACTGGAGTCCGTTCAATGATGACATTTGATTCCATTCGATGATGATTCCATTTGGGGCCATTCGAAGATTCCATTCAATTCCATTTGATGATTCCATTAGAGTACATTCGATGATTTCATTCGAGTCCATTCGAGGATGATTGCTTTTGATTCCATTCCATGATTATTCCATTCGATTCCATTTGATGATGATTCCACTTAAGTCCACTCGATGATTCCATTAGAGTCTATTCTATGATTCCATTAGATTTCATTCGATGATGATTAGATTGGATGCCATTCGATGATTCCATTCAGTTCCACTCAAGGATGATTGCACTTGTGTCCATTCGATGATTGCATTCGATTCCATTTGATGATGATTCCATTCGTGTCCATTCCATGATTGCATTCAATTCCATTCTATGATGATTCCATACGAATCCGTTCGATGATTCCATTCCATTCCCTTCGATGATTCCGTTTGATCCCTTTCTATGATTCCATTCGATTCCATTCGATGATGACTTCATTTGGTTCCATTTGATGATGATTCCATTTGGTTCCATACGATGATGATTTCTTCCGATTCCATTCGATGATTCCATTCCATGATGATTCCATTCATTCCATTCGATGTTGATTCCAGTTAATTCCATTCGATGATGATTCCATTCGAGTCCATTCAATGATTCCATTCGATTCCAATCGATGATGATTCCATTCGTGTCAATTCGGTGATTCCATTCGATTCCATTCGGTGATGATTCCATTCGATGCCATTCATTGATTCCATCCGATTTCATTTGATGATGATTGCATTCGCTTCCGTTCATTGATGATTCCATTTGATTACATTCGATGATGATTCCATTCATATCCATTCAATGATGATTCCATTCATATCCATTCGATGATGATTCCATTTGAGTCCAATCAATCATTCCATTTGAGTCTATTTGATGATTCCATTCAATTCCATCCCATTATGATTCAATTCAAGTCCATTCGATGATGATTCCATTCGATTTTATTTGATGATTCAAATTGATTCCATTCGATGATTCACTTCAATTCCTCTCAATGATGATTCCTTTTGATTCTGTAAGATTTTCATTCCATTCGACTCCATTGATGATGATTGCATTTGAATCCATTCGATGATTCCATTCGAGTCCATTCAATGATTCCATTCTAGTCTGTTCCGCAATGATTCCATTTGTTTCCATTTGATGATGATTAAATTTGACTCCATTCGATGATTCCATCCCCTTCCATTCAATGAGGATTCCATTCGTGTCCATTTGATTATTACATTCGATTCCATTCAATGAGTATTCTATTCATTCCATTAGATGATTCCAATGGATTTGATTCGATGATTATTCCATTTGTTTCCCTTCGTTGATTCCATTCCATTCCATTGGATAATGATTCCATGCGTGTCCAATCAATGGTTCTGTTTGAATCCATTCGATATTTGCTTTCGATTCCATTCTATGATGATTCCATTCGATTCCATTTGATGATGATTCCACTTGATACTATTCTATCACTCCATTCGATTCCATTTGATGATGAGTCCATTCGATACCATTCTATGACTCCATTCAATTACATTCGATGAGGATTCCATTCGATTCCATTTAATGATTCTATTTGATTCCATTCGAGGATGATTCCATTGGATTCCATTCGATGATTCAATTCGCTTCCATTCAATGTTGATTCCATTCAATTCTATTTGATGATTCCATTCGATGATTCCATTTGATGATGATTCCATTCGTGTCCATGGAATGATTCTATAGAAATCCATTCAATCGTACTGCTTGATTCCATTTGGTGATTCCCATCAATTCCATTTGATGATCATTCCATTCGATTCCATTCGATGATTCCATTTGATTACATTCAATGCTGATTCCATTCAAAACCATTCGATGATGATTCTATTCACTTCCATTTGATGCTGATTCCTTTCGATTCCATTTGATGATGACTGCATTAGGTTCCATTTGATGATGATTCCATTCGGTTCCATGTGATGAAAATTCCGTTAGATTCCATTTGATGATTCCATTCCATTCCATTCATTGATTATTCCATTCGATTCCACTCGATGATGATTCATTTGATTCCATTCGATGATGACTCCATTTGGTTTCATTTGATGATGATTCCACTCAGTTCCATACGATAAAGATTCCATTAGATTCAATTCGATTTCTTTCTATAACTCTATTCTATTTCATTTGATGATCATTCCATTCTATCCCAATAGATGATTCCATTCGATTCCATTGAATGATTATCCCATTCGATTCCATTCGATGATGACTCCAATCATTTCCAGTCAATGATGATCCATTCGCGTCCATTAGATGATTCCATTCGATTCCATTCGATGATGATTGCATTCGTGTCCATTCGATGAATCCATTCGATAAAATTCGATGATGATCCCATTTGATTGCATTCGATGATACCATTCTATTCCATTCGATGATGATTGCATTCAAATCCATTTGATGATTCCATTAGAGTCCATTTAATGATTCCACTGGATTCAATTTGATGATGATTAATTTGGATTCCATTCTATGATTCCATTCATTCCATTCATTCATGATTCCAATAGATTCCACTCGATGATTATTCCATTCATTTTCATTCAATGATTCTATTTGATTTCATTCGATGATGCATCAATTCTATTCCATTGGATGATTCTATTCGATTCCATTCAATGATGATTTCATTCGATTCCATTCGATGATGATTCCATTTGATTGCATTTGGTGATGATTCCATTCGGGTCCATTCGAAGTTTCCATTCGATTACATTGCGTGATGATTCCATTCGCGTCCATTCGATGATTCCATTCGACTGCATTTGACAATGATTCCATTCGATGCTATTCGATGATTCCATTACATTATATTCGATGATGATTCCATTTGACTCCATTCGATGATTCCATTCGAGTCCATACCTTTATCCCATTAGATTCCATTCAATGATGTTTCCATTTGATGCCATTTGATGATGTTTCCATTCGAGTCCATTCGATGATGACTGCATTGGATTCCATTCTATGATTCCATTTGATTCCATTTGATGGTGATTCTGATCAATTCCATTTGATGATTCCATGCGATTCCATTTGATGATTCCATTTGATTCAATTCAATAATGATTCCATTCGAGTCCATTCAATGATTACATTTGAGCCCAATGGATAATTCCATTTGAGTCCAATCCATGATTCCATTCGAGTCCATTCAATCATTCCATATGAGGCCATTTGATGATGATTCCTTTTGAGTCCATTCAATGATTCCATTCAGTAGCTCCATTTGAGTCCATTCGATGATTGCTTTTGATTCCATTCGATGATATTCCATTCGACCCCATTCGGTGATTCCATTCGATTTTATACGATGATGATTCCATTCGTGTCCATTCGGTGATTCCATTCGAATTCATTCGATGATGATTCCTTTAGAGTCTATTAGATGTTTCCATTCGATTCCATTTGATGATGATTTCGTTCGAGTCCATTCAATGATTCCATTCGATTCCATTCGATGATGATTCCATTCGAGTCCATGCGATAATTACATCTGATTCCATTTGATGATGACTGCATTCGGTTCCATTCGATGATGATTCGAACGGACTCCATTCAATGACTCCATTCATTCATCATTCATTGATGATTGCATTCGATTCCATTCAATGATGATTCCACTCGAATCTGTTCGATGATTCTACTTGATTCCATTCGATGATGATTCCATTCATGTTCATTTGATGATTCCATTCGATTCCATTCGATGATGATTCCATTCGAGTCCATTCGATGATTCCATTCAAGTCCATTCGATGTTTCCTTTCGATTCCACTTGACGTTGATTCCTTTTGGGTCCATTCGATGATTAAATTTGAGTGTGTTCCATTATTTCATTCGATTCCATTCGATGATCATTCTATTTGAGTCCATTCGATTATTCCACTTTATTTCATTCGATGATGATTCCATTCGATTCCAATCATTGATTCCATTCGAGTCAATTCGATGATTCCATAACATTCCATTCAATGGTGATTCCATTCGATTCCATTCGATGATGATTCCATTCGACTCCATTCAATGATGATTCCATTCAATTCCATTCGATGATGATTCCATTTGCTCCATTCGATCATGATTCCATTCGATTCAATTTGATGGTTCCATTCAATTCCATTCAATAGTTCCAATCGATTCCATTTGATGATGATTCCATTCAATTCCATTCCGTGATGATTGCATTCGATTCCATTCAACGTCTCCATTTGATTCCTTTTGATATTGATTACATTCGTGTCCATTGGATGATTCCGTTCAATTCTTTCTGATTATGATTCCGTTTGATGCCATTTGATGATTCCATGCCATTCCATTCGATGATGATTCCTTTCGATTCCATTCCCTGATTCCTTTCGATTCCATTTGATGATGATTCCATTTGAGTTCATTCAATGATTCCATTCAATTCCATTTGATATTGATTCCATTAGGATCCATTTAATGATTCCATTCAATTCGTTTCGATGATGATTCTATTTGAGTCCATTTGATGATTCCTTTGAAGTCCATTTGATTATTCCTTTTGATTCAATTTGATTATGATTCCATTCGATTCTATTCGATGATTCCATTCAATTCCATTCGATGATGATTCCATTCGTGTCCATTTGATGACTTGATTCGATTCTATTCGATGATGATTCCATTCGAGGCCATTTGATGATTGCATTTGAGTCCGTTTGATGATTTCATTTGATTCCGCTTGATAATGATTCCTTTTGAGTCCATTCGATGATTCGATTTGTGTCTATTCGATGATTCCATACGATTCCATTAGATGATGTCTCCATTCGAGTCCATTGAATTAGTCCATTAGATTCCATTCGAGGATGATTCCATTCGAGTTCATTCAAGGATTCAATTCGAGTCCATTCGATGCTTCCATTCAATTCCACATGATGATGATTACTTTCGAATCGATTTGATGTTTTCTTTCAAGTGCATTCAATAATTCCTTTCGATTCCATTCTATGATGATTTCATCCTCTTCCATTCAATGATGATTCCATTCGATTGTATTCAATGACCCCATTCGATTCCATTCGATTGTGATTCCATTCTTTTCCATTAGGTGATTCCATTTGATTCTTATCAATGATGATTCCGTTTGATGCCATTCGATGATTTCATGTGATTCCATTCGATGATGATTCATTTCGTTTCCATTCAATGATTCCATTCGATTCCATTTGATGATGATTCCATTCGAGTCCATTTGATGATTCCATTCAATTCCATTCGACAATGATTCCATTCGAGTCCATTTGATGATTCCATTCGATTCTATTCAATGATGACTCAATTTGAGACCATTTGATGATTGCATTCGATTCCATTTGGTGACTCCTTTCTGTTTCATTCGATGAGGACTCCATTCGAGGCCATTTGATGATTGCATTAGGTTTGATTCAATGATGATTCCATTCGAGTCCTTTCAAAGATTCGAGTCCATTCAATGATTCCATTCGATTCCACTTGATGATGATTCCTTTCGAGTCCATTCAATGATTCCTTTCAAGTGCCTTCAATGATTCCATTCAATTCCATTCAATGATAATTCCATTCGAGTCCATTCAATGATTCCATTCAGTTGCATTCGATGATTCCATATGATTTCATTCGATGATGATTCCATTCGAGTCCATTTGATGATTCCATTCAATCCCTTTTGAGCATGATTACATTCGATGATTCCATTCTATTCCATTCCATGATGTTTCCATTCGATTCCATTCAATGATTATTCCATTCGAGTCCATTCAATGATTCCTTTCAATTCCATTCGATGATTCCATTTGATTCCATTCTATAATTCCATTTTATTACATTTGATGATGATTCCATTTGATTCTATTCGATGATTCCTTTCGATTCCATTTGATGATGATTCCATTCCAGTCCATTTGATGATTCTTTTCGATTCTATTCGATGATGATTCCATGCAAGTGCATTCAATGGTGATTCCATTCGGTTCCATTCAATGAATCCTTTCGATTCCATTCGATGATGATTGCATTTGATTCCATTCGATGATTCCATTTGATTCCATTCAAAGATGATTCCTTTTGATTCCATTCAATGATGGTTCCATTCGAGTCCCTTCGATGATTCCATTAGAGGCCATTTGATGGTTCCATTTGGTTCCATTCGATGAAGATTCCATTGTATTCCATTCTTTGATGATTTAAATTGATACCTTTCAATGATGATTCCATTCAATTGCATTCGATGCTCATTCCATTCGGTTCCATTCGTTAATTCCATTCGATTCCATTCGACAATTATTCCATTTGACTCCATTCGGTATTTCCTTTAGATTTTATTCAATGATTATTCCATATGAGTCCATTCAATGATGATTCCATTCGATTGCATTCTATGGTTCCATTCGATTCCATTCGAGGATGATTGCATTAGATTCCATTTGATGATTCCATTTGATTTTATTCAAAGATGATTCCATTCGATTCCATTTGATAATTCCTTTCGATTCCATTTGATGATTCCAATGGATTCCATTTGATGATGATCCCATTTGAGTCTGTTCGATGATTCCTTTCAATTCCAATCAATGAAGATTCCATTCGTGTCAATTCCATGATTCCATTCCATTCCATTCGATGATGATTCTATTCAATTCCATTACATAATGATTCCATTCGATTCCATTCAAAGATGATTCCATTTGATTTCATTGGATGATTCTATTTGATTCCATTCAAAGATGATTCCCTTCTATTCCATTCAATGATTCCATTTGATTTCATTCGATGATGATTCCATTCTAATCCACTTGATGATTCCATTCCATTCCATTCAATGATGATTCCATTCGAGTCCAGTCGATGACTCCATTCGATTCCATTAGATGATGATTCAATTCGAGTCCGTTCGATGATTCAATGCGATTTCGTTTGATAATAATTACATTCAATTCTATTCGATGATTCCTTTCGATTCCATTTGATGATGATTCCTTTCAAGTCCATACGATGATTCCATTCAAATCTATTCGATGATGATTCCATTCGAGTCCATTCGATGATTCCATTCGATTACATATGATGATGATTCAGTTCGATTCCATTCGATGATTCCATTTGATTCCATTCATTGATGATTGCATTCGAGTCCATTTGATGATTCCTTTTGATTTCATTCAATGATGATTCCATTCGAGTCCATTTGATCATTCTATTTGAATCCACTTGATGATTGCTTTCGATCATATTCGATGATGATTCCATTCGAGTCCATTCGATGATTCCATTCAATTCCATTTGATGATGATTCCATTCGTGTCCATTAAATGATTCCATTTAATTCCATTCGATGATGACTCCATTCGGGTATGTTCAATTATTCCTTTCAGTTCTATTTGATGATGATTCCATTCGATTCCATTTAATGGTGATTCCATTCAATTACATTCGATGTTTCCATTCGATTCCATTTGATGATAATTGCATTATATTCCATTCAATGATGATTCCATTCCATTTCATTTGATGATTCTATTCGATTCCATTCGATGATGATTCCTTTCAATTCCATTTGATGATGATTCCATTCGACTGCAATCAATGATGATTCCATTTGAGTCCATTTGAAGATTCCATTCGATTCCATTTGATCATTGTTCCATTGATGTCCATTCGATGATTCCATTCCATTCCATTCGATGATGATTCTATTCAATTCCATTCGATGATGATTCCAATCGTTTCCATACAATGATGATTCCATTTGGTTGCATTCAATGATTCTATTTGATTCCATTCGAAGATGAATCCATTCTATTCCATTCGATGATTCCATTCGATTCCATTCGATGATGATTCTATTCGAATACATTTGATGATGAATCCATTCGAATCCATTCGATGATGATACCATTCATGTCCATTCGATGTTTCCATTTGATTCCATTCAACGACGATTCCATTCAAGTCCATTAGATCAGTCCATTTGATTCCATTCAATGATGATTCCATTTGATGCCATTCAATGATTCCATTTGATTTCATTCAATGATGATTCCATTCTAATCCATTTGATGATTCCATTCCATTCCATTCCATGATGATTCCATTCGAATCCATTCGATGATTCCATTTGATTCCATTCGATGATGATTCCATTTGAGTCCCTTCAATGAGTCCATTCGATTCCATTCGATGGTGATTCCATTTGGGTCCATTAGATGAATCCATTTGATTCCATTCGATGGTGATTCCATTCGAGTCCATTCGATGATTCCATTTGATTCCATTCTCCAATTATTACATTCGAGTCCATTCGATGATTGCACTGGATTCCATATGATGAAGATTCTATTCAATTCCACTTGATGATTCCATTCTATTCCATTCAATGATGATTCCATTCGGGTTCATTAGATGATTCCATTCGATTCCATTCGATGATAATTCCATTCTATTCCATTCAAAGATGATTCCATTCGTGTCCATTGGATGATTCCATTTGATTCCATTCGATGATGATTCCCTTCTATTCCATTCAATGATGATTCCATTCGGGTCCATTGGGTGATTCCATTCGATTCCATTCAATCATGATTCCATTTGTGTCCATTCAATGATTCCATTCTACTCCATTCGATGCTTATTCCATTCCTTTCCATTAGATAATGATTCCATTCGATGCCATTCTAAGATTCCTTTCAATTCCATTTGTTGTTGATTCCATTCTATTTCATTCGATGATTCTGTTCGAATCCATTCAATTATGATTCCATTCGATTCCATTCAATGATTCCATTTGATTACATTTGATGATGATTCCATTTGATTCCATTTGATGATTCCATTCGATTCCATTCCCATTCGATGATGATTCCATTCGAGTCCATTCAATGATTCCTTTCGATTCTATTCAATGATGATTCCATGAGAGTGCATTCAATGGTGATTCCATTGGATTCCATTCAATGATTCCTTTCAGTTCCATTCAATGATGACTGCATTCGATTCAGTTCTATGGTTCCATTCAATTCCATTCAAAGATGATTCCATTCGATTCCACTTGATAGTTCCATTCGATTACATTTGATGATTCCAATGGATTCCATTTGATGATGATTCCATTCGTGTCCATTCAATGATTCCATTCAATTCCATTAGATGATTATTCCATTCGAGTGTATTCGATGTTTCCAATCAATTCCATTCAATGATGATTCCATTCGAGTCCATCCGATGACTCTATTCAATTCCATTCAATAATGATTCCCTTCGAGTCCATTTGATGATTCCATTCAAGTCCTTTTGATGATTCCATTCTATTCCGTTTGATGATGATTCTGTTCGAGTCCATTCGACACTTCCCTTCGAGTCCATTTGATGATTCCATTTGAGTCGAATTGCTGATTCCATGCAATTCTGTTCTGTGATGTTTCCGTATGATTCCATTCTATGATGATTCAATGTGATTCCTTTCGATGATGATTCCTTTTGATTCCATTTGATTATGATTCATTTCCAGTTCATTCAACGATTCCACACGATTCCATTTGATGATGATTCCATTCGAGTCCATTTGATGATTCCTTTCGATTCCATTAGAAGATGTTTCCATTTGATTCCGTTCATTGGTGATCCCATTCAATTCCATTCAATGATTCCATTCCATTCCATTCGACAATGATTCCATTTGATTCCATTCGATGATTCCGCTCAATTCCATTTGATGATGATTCCATTCGATTCCATTTGATGATTCCATTCGATTCTATTTGATGATGATTCCATTCGATTCCATTCGATGATGATTGCCTTCAATTCCATTCGATGATTCCATTCGATTCCATTCAATGATGATTCAGTTTGATTCCATTTGATGAATCCATTTGAGTCCATTTGATGATTCCATTCGAGTCCATTCAATGATTCCATTCGAGTCCATTTGATGATTCCATTCGATTCCATTTGATGATAATTCCATTCATGTCCATTCAATGATTCCATTCGAGTCCATTCGATAATTCCTTTTGATTCCTTTCGATGATTCCATTCGATTCTATTTGATGTTTCCATTTGAGTCCATTTGTTCATTCCTTCCGTGTCCATTCGATGATTCCATTTGATTCCATTTGATGATGATCCCATTTGATGATGATTCCATTGGAGTCCATGTGATGATTCCGTTTGATTCCATTCGATGATGATTCCATTCGAGTCCATTCGATGGTTCCATTCTATTCCATTTGATGAGGATTCCCTTCAAATCCATTTGATGATTCTATTCAAGTCCATTCATTGATTGCTTTTGATTCCATTTGATGATGATTCCCTTTGATTCCATTCGATGATGATTCCATTCGATGTCATTCTATGATTCCATTTGATTCCATTTGATGTTGATTGCATGTGATTCCATTCGGTTATTCTATTCGATTATTTTCTATGATGATTCCATTCGATTCCATTCAGTGTTTCCAGTTGATTACATTTGATGATGATTCCTTTAAATTCCATTCAATGATTCCCTTTGAGTTCATTCCATGATTCCTTTTGATTCCATTCCATGTTGATTCCAATCGAGTCCATTTGATGATTCCATTTGATTTCTTTTGATGAAGATTTGATTCAATTCTGTTTGATGATTCCATTCAATTATATTTCATGACGATTCCTTTTGAATCCATTTGATGATTCCTTTCGAGTCCATTTGATGATTCTATTTGGTTCCATTCGATGATGATTCCTTTGAATTCCATTCGTTGATGGTTCCATTCGATTCCATTCGATGACGATTCCATTCAATTGCATTCGATGATGACTCCATTCGATTCCATTCGATGATGATTCCATTCGGGTCCATTAAAAGATTCCATGTGATCCCATTCTATGATGATTCCATTTGAGTTCATTTGATGATTCCATTTGACTCCATTCGATGATGATTCCATTTGATGCTATTCCATGATTCCATTCGATTCCATTCCACTTGCTGATGATTACATTTGACTCCATTCGATGATTCCATTCGATTCCATTCCATGATGATTCCCTTCAACTCCATTCAGTGATTCCATTCGATTCCAATCGATGAGGATTCCGTTCGAGTCCATTTGATGACTGTATTCGATTCCATTCGATGATGATTACTCTTGAGTCCATTCAATGATTCCATTCGAGTAAATTCGATTATTCCATTTGATTCTATTCGATGATTCCATTCGATGCCATTTGATGATTCCTTTTGTTTCCATTCAATGTTCATTCCATTCGTGTCCATTTGATGATTCCATTCAATCCCATTTG
This sequence comes from Homo sapiens, assembly GCF_000001405.40. Classification (NCBI taxonomy): domain Eukaryota; kingdom Metazoa; phylum Chordata; class Mammalia; order Primates; family Hominidae; genus Homo; species Homo sapiens. The sequence continues at coordinate 62,297,187 of NC_000007.14, read as the reverse complement.
ATGATGATTCCATTCGTGTCCATTCGATGATTCTATTCTATTCCATTCGATGATGATTCCATTTGAGTTGATTCGATGATTCCTCTCGATTCCATTCAATGACTCCGTTCAATCCCATTTGATGTTTCCCTTCGATTGCCTTCGATGATCATTCCATTCGATTCAATTTGGTGATTCCATTCGATGATGATTCCATTCGATGATGATTCCATTCGATGATGATTTCATTCTATTCCATTTGATGATGATTCCATTCGCTTCCACTTGATGATGATTCCATTCGATTCCATTTGATGGTGATTCCATTTGCTTCCATTTGATGATGATTCCATTCGAGTCCATTCGATGATTCCTTTCGATTCCATTCGAAGATGATTCCACTCAAGCCTATTTGATTATTCCATTCGAGTCCATTCGATGATTCCATTAGATTCCATTCGATGATGATTCCATTCCATGCCATTCGATGATTCCATTTGATTCCATTCAATGATGATTCCATTTGTATTCATTCGATGATTCCATTGGTTTCCATTTAATGATGATTCCATTCGAGTCCATTCCATGATTCCATTCAATTCCATTCGCTGATGATTCCATCCGAATCCATTCGATGATTCTTTTTGATTCCCTTCTATGATTCTGTTTGATCCCATTCGATGATTCCCTTCGATTCCTTTTGATGATCTTTCCATTCGATTCAATTAGATGATTCCATTTGATTCCATTCGATGATGATTCCATTCGATCCCATTCGATCAAGAGTCCATTTGATTCCATTTAATGATTACTCCATTCGTTCCATTTAATGATGATCCCATTCAGTTCCATTTGATGATGATTCCTTTAGATTCCATACAATGATTCTATTCGATTACATTTGTTGACGATTCCATTCGATTCCATTCAATGATGATTCCATTCAATTCCATTTGATGATGGTTGCATTCGATTCCATTCGATGATGATTCCATTCGATTCCATTCAATGATGATTGCATTCGATTCCATTCGATGATGATTCCATTCACTTCCATTCAATGATGATTCCATTTGATTCCATTTGATGATGATTCCATTCGCTTCCATTCAATGATGATTCCATTTGATTCCATTCGATGATGATTCCTTTTAAGTCCATTCGATGATGCTTCCGTTCAAGTTCATTGGATGATGATGCATTTTGATTACATTCGATGATGACTCCATTCGTTTCCATTCGATGATGATTCCGTTTGATTCCATTCGATGATAATACCTTTCTATTCCATTCGATGATGATTCCATTCGATTCCATTCGATGATGATTCCATTCGATTCCATTCGATGATGATTCCATTCGCCTCCATTCAATGATGATTCCATTTGATTCCATTTGATGATGATTCCTTTCGAGTCCATTCGATGATGATTCCGTTCAAGTCCATTGGATGATGATGCCTTTTGATTCCATTCGATGATGTCTCCATTCGATTCCATTTGATGATGACTCCATTCGATTCCATTCGATGATGATTCCGTTTGATTCCATTAGATGATAATTCCATTCTATTCCATTCAATGATGATTCCATTCCATTCCATTCCATTCCACTACTTTCCATTACATCCAATTCCATTCCACTCCACTCTTCTCCACTCCACTCCACTCCATTGCCTTCCATTCCGTTCTATTCCACTGCTTTACATTCCATTCCTTTCTTTCAAGAGTGTCTCTCTCTGTCACCCATCCCGTAGCACAATGGCACAATCTCATCTCCCATTCCATTCCATTCCTCTCCATTCAATTCCATTCGATTCAGTTCCATTGAATTCCATTCCATTCCATTCTATTCCATTCCATTCCATTCCATTCCATTCCATTCCATTCCATTCCATTCGAAAAAGAAAAAAGAGTTGCAAAGTCATACTCACTTCTCTGCTCTTGTCAGAACATTAAGTGTTCTTTGAATACTTCAGCCCTAATAATTTTCTTTTTATCATACATATTGCAGTGCTTATCTAATTTTAAATATATTTTTGTTTCAAAACCCAGTTTCTTATTTGTTCTATCTGTATGTTTGCAATATATATTACTCTCTGTTCATTCTTGGATTTCAGAACTTCAACCTTTCTGAAGCATATTTTCATAGTTTCTCTGTTGTTTCTTTAGTGGAATTCTGCTGGTGGCGTTTTGTGTTTTATCTCTAAATATGTTATTTAGCCATAGGATAATGAATATTTTTCTTTGTTTAGAAATTCAGAATGGCGTTATTATTCTTAACAAATATTATTGTTTATTTTACCTTTCATTTTTTCAGATTTCAATATGATTAAAAGTAATTTTATTTTTCTAGTGCTAATTGAAATATTTTTCCCTTCCTTGTTTACTATTTCTCTAGGAGATACATAGGTGTAGGTTTATCTCCATTGTAGCTTGCTTACATTGCATGGAATTTTTGAATATGCAGATTAGTGTCTTACAAAAGTCTAGGGAACTTTCAAACAAAATACCAACACATATTGTCCCTTCCCAGTTCCCTTCTTCTATGAGAACACTCTCTAAACGCATGCTACACTTTCTCACTGTATCTTCCATGTCTCTTCATCATTCTGTCCACATTTTACATTTTTTCAAATTTTCTGTAATGCATTCTGAAATATTTATGAAATCTCACCTTGGCCATGTCTAATCTGATGAATTCATCTTTGAGTTTTTAATTTAAAATAACTATATTTTTATACAAACTACTTTCCAAATTTGCTACATGAATTTTTTAGTCTCCTAACAATATATTCATTTTTTTTAAATTTTTTGAAAGCAAATGTGCTTTATAATCTAACAGTGATATTTCCACTAATGAACCTTTGTGGATCTGTATGTACTCTTTTTCTGCTTTCCTTTCAAATGGTGGAATATCATTTCCTTGCATACTTAGATGCCTTTGAATGACAAATATTTATTTTTCTCTGAAAATTATTTTTGTGCACTTTTGCAGATTAGTAAATAGAAAATTTGCCAAAGAGAATTTCAATTGTTTTGTGATTCTACTAAAGGCACCACCATTCTGGGACCACATTATATTAATTCTTGGCCTAAAGTTGTTCGGACGTATGTTTGGACTGCACATTTAAACAATTTTTAAATTAGTTGCTGTAAATCATTAACGATTGAGTTTCTTTAAATCTATCCAATCTCAAGTCATTTTTATTTGCCATTTCCAGGGAATGTGAAATGGGACTAATTTACCCCTGATTCTTCTTTATACTGAGGATATAAATTTTGGTCATAGCTTTAGGGAAGAGCTCCTGTGTAATGCCCTATCTTGGGAAAAACTATGTATTTATTTACTGTCCTATGTGATGTATGACAGTAAGAATCTGCACTCATTCATTTTGCTACATGTCCATAGGGCAAAATTAGTTTCGGTGTTTAGTTATATATTGTCTGCTCCCTGCATTCCCATTGTTTTGACCTTATATTTTAATTTTATTTGTGAACATACCAGTGCTTCAAATTTTTTCCAGTAATATATTCAACTATATTATGAGAAAGAGAAAAATTTTGACAAAACACAGATTTCATGTTTTCCTACTCTAATTGGCTTTTACTTAAAAATACAGGTAAAATTTATTTGTGTTTTTTTGCTCTTTCTGTTTTGCTATTCTCTGTTTGTCTATGTCTTCTCCACATAGACACAATTAGGGAATTTTGTACACTCTTGTGCCAACTGCTTTGATAGTAACAAAATGTATTTCTCAAACTCCTAGGTATAAAACTCAAGTATCCACAATTTAAATTCTTTTTTGTTCACTTCTATTATGTTTCCAGTCTCAATAGAAATTGATGCCAATACAGAAATACAAGCATTATTCTAATAATTCTCACACATTACAGGTATAGATTAAATTTTCTAGATCTCCTTAAATACCATCATTTTTCACTATTTGTATCTTAACTGTTAAGTTCAGAATTTTCTATAATATTAATAAGTTGTGAAAATTTCCTTACTCTCTTATTTGTCCCAAGTTCAAGGTTTTGCAGTCTCTACCTCACCCTGTGAAGCATAAACATTGTACTATGCTGTACAAATATTACATAGTTCATGTGCTTAGAGATTGCACAATTTTTATTTGGTTGACAATAGCTAATGTTTTCTTCTTCATTTTCTATTTCCTGATTTTTCTTTATTTAGCATATGCTACATTATCATAAAAATGAGAACGTTTTACAAACTAAAGCAAAAGAAACCCTAGGAAAAAAATGCACAAATAAAATATATAAACATACATTTAGATGTACCATGAACACTTCCAATTTATTTAGACTTTTAATTGTAGTACAATTTTAATTAAAGTCTGTGTATTATCTGCCATCGTCTTAGTATATTTTTATATAACAAATTGTGTAAATCAAGAAGCCTCAATGTCATTATAAACTATCTTGGCAGAGGTTGATCCCCAAGGAATAATTTCTCTCCCAAATTATGTCAATCAGAATTTCACTCTACCATAATTCTTTTAATCAGTTTCAGAGGAATCATAAATTTCAAAACTGTTCAAGGTAGTTGTTGTAGTTCAAGTACATTTAGACAGGTGTAAAACTGTAGACAGACTGATACAAACGTATTCTAATTGACACAAAAGTGTATGGGACCTATTTTAAAATCTAGACTTTAAGATGTCGTGTCAAAGTACCCATGTTCTCCTTGTGAAATAATTGCTTTTTATTCTCTGGATAGAATAATTTAATCTTTAAACCTTCAATTCACTGCAGGAAACAAAATATTGCATAAGGATATGTTTATAAAAATAATTAGCAACTAGTTTTTCAATTCAGAAATATATTTGAAAAATCATCAATCATCTTATGGATTTCAAGGAGAAATGGGTTAGTAATTTATTCCATATGCCTCAATTTTTCCTAGATTCAAGGTTTCTTTTAAAACAATTGTAGGCATTTAAGAAACTATGTAAACTAAAAACGAAATTGTGACACTGCCGCTTAGGTTTTTTAAATCTTTGGACATGAATCAATATACTTTTTAATTTTATCTTAATTAGACATTGTGAGTTCACTATCTTCCTGTAAGTATAGCATCCAAGCTGATTATCATAGATTACAAATTCAACAAACAACTGTGTTCTGAGACTCTAAAAAAATAAATGAATGTATTTGTTTGGGTATTCTTAAAGCAGGAGTGAGGACACAGTGAAAGTAAGACAAGGAAGAGAGAACAAAATAAAACAGGAAAGATAGAAAAGCCAATACCACACGTGTTAAGAGGCAAGATCCTGCGTTAGATATCTGGGCTTAATTCTATGGGAAGCTATGTGGAAGATGCCTCAGAATTACATCACTGAATCCAGGGAGATTCTTCTTAGTTACCCTCACCTTTTCTTCCCACTTCATGCCCAGTATCAAACTCCCGTGCTGCTAGAGAAAGTCCTCAGCTAGAAACAGCTGCAAATTCTGGAGATGACACTCTGTAGAGTGTTAAGAATGGTTTTCTTCCCAGCAGCTACAGGTAAGGAATAGGGGCTGGGCTATTAATACATCTGCTACAAATCAATATACCCCTTATGCTCCTTTTGGTGATCGACAATGTATTTAAAAATATTAGATGATCAAGAAGAGCTGCAGAAAGGAGGAAAAAGAAACAAACAGCACACCTCTTGGTTTATTTTTGTTCATTTCATCAGTTTCAAGGAAAATGTGTTGGGAGTTCCTGGCATAGAGAATGTCACAAAGATATGTTTTCAATAGTGGTGCTATCCCTAGGGCAGAGAAGATCCAGAGAAAGCCCAAGTGGCTGCTGGAACAAAGTCAGACACCGTGCCACCTGTCCACACTCCTTGGCTCTGCCATCATGCTGAAGATTGGTTTAAAGGTCTGGCTTCCCTCCCCGCAAAATTAAAAGAGCACAAACTGAGAAACTGAATGTGGGAGACAGCAGTGGGTTATGCTGTTCTCAGGGGTCACCTCAGGTTTGGAAGCGTTCTTTCAAATTAACCCATCTCAGGCCATCTGCAGAGAAGAAAGGTGGTACCTAACATTTTTTCTTGTCAGCACTTGGTAGGGGTGTTTTATTGACCAAATATGTTCCCACAACCTAGTTTTTTGTAACTAAATATAGTAGATTTTTAAATTTTATCATCAAAATCTATAGACAATTTTTTATTAAAATAGGCTCCACATCTATGTCCTGCTTTTCTTCTTATTAATTACATTGCTGTATGAAAGAACAAGACTTCAGAATCAAGAATATCTTGTCTCTTGGCATTGAATTTATACAAGGTGCTCTTTCTTTAATGCTGTCTCAAAGGGCATATTTTTACTCATTAAAAAGGAAGATCAGAATCTAGTTGTATGCACTGCTCCAACGTATTAATAATTAAAATTAGGATGTAAATGTGGTCAAAGCTATAGAAAGATTTGGGATGTCGTTTATATTGATTACTGTATAGCACTCTACAAACAGAAATTGTGAAATAATAGCTTATATAAATATTTTGTAGCATTTCAAATATTAGAGTGCCTGAAGTTTCTCCTCTTATATAGTTCAGATTATCAATTTGAATAGTTACTCCACTGGTTAAAAAGTTTTTAGTCTCGTTTCAGTATTAATATAAAAGCAATTTTCAGTTAAAAGTGTTCCGCTTACATAAAACATTAGAAACTAGTGAGTATTTAATTACATTTTCGTATTCCTGTAATGCCTTTAGAAGATTTTCATATTATTACCTATCAATATATGTATGCTTTGTCTAAGAAAAATCAATCATATACATCATTGAAATGGAAACTTTTTAAAAGTACTTATTAATTCTATTGAAAAACCACATCCATAGGAGCAATTACAATATAATATTGTGAACATGTAAATATATATCCTATGTCTATTTTATATAGAAGCATATGTGATTAAAAATATAGTTAATAATTTTTAAACCTAGTTTCATAAAGTAAAAATTAGTTAAACTTCTGATGATTATTTGTTAATTAAGATAAAATTATTTTGATTTGGGTGATTTTAAATGAACAAAAATATTAAGTTACATGACAAAAATTATTTATAAAATGTTTACGATTTTTACTTTGGTTTTATCACTTTATTCCATTATTTTATTTTAAGAAGACCTGCCTTATTTAAAACACTGTATTCATCTTAATTAAATTAAATTCCATTTGTAAAAAAGTTAACAAATGATTTGCTCTATTATACAGTGTGGTTATAAACTGAGTCGGTATCTCAAGATTTGATCCCCATTATCGTCATCCATGGCCCTATTTGTTTGATAAATGTACTGTCTTTTTCCATGCCTGTCACATCTCTATTGCTCATTTATTTTTCTCCTTGTCCCTTATAGGGAGCATTGCCTATCTCTAGATTAAGCAAAAGTTGCATCTTAAAAAAGCACAATAACCTGCTCAAACTTTCTCACACAGAGAAATGTTTGTTAAGTAATTAAAGTGTAGATGATGATACAAAGAGCTTGATTAAATAAGATGCCAAAGTACCCTTGTGATTCAGAATATGAATGGTATTTAATGCCTTTGAAATCAATAATTGCTGAGTGACAGTAATTAATGCCAATATTTCAGAAGTTGTTCTGGTTAGTGAAATGTGTACAACATGTAAAAATTTCCGAACTCTGAAGGGCAACATTATTCTTTAATTAAGAATTAAGAATTAATTCACATTAATTATTGGGGAGAAATAATTTCAAGAATTAATGACCGATAAAACGTTTTTATTTTTTATTTAGAAAATTATTTTGTGCATGAGCATTACTGCAAGTTTTGCAAGAAACAAATTTATAGCAACAATTATGTGCACAAGATGAATTTAATAACATCTTGATATTTTCCACTATTACAGTTGTATTTGGTACATCTTTAAATGCCCATCATCTAAAGATCATAAATGAATCTTGGAAATCTTGTAGGTAAGGGTAAATATAAGGACGCATCCAATTACATTTACACACACATACAATTACATTTACACAAGCATACATGCACACACGCTCACTGATACAGGTATGCATATATATACATGAATTTACCAATTGATTTTAACTAATATTTATAAGAGCCTGTAGGATTGATATATATTGTTGAACCTGAAAAATATTTATTATATACATGTTTAAAATACACAAAGAAATAAACAGTAATTGCACTAGGCATTTGAAACTGTACTTAAATATAAGCTGTGATCATTACAAATTCTTACACTGAATAAATATCTTTATTTTTATAATATGATACATGTGTACATTTTTTAAAATGTATTATTTTTGTCATAGAGTCATGTCATGCATAATAATATTTCAGTCAAAGGTGGATTACATATACAAAAGTTGTCCCATGAGATTATAATACATATTTTTACATACTTTTCTATGTTTAAGTATGTTTACATACATAAACTCTTACCACTGTGTTCTTATTGCCTGCAGTATTCAGTATAGTAGTGTAGTACACAGGTTTGTAGCCTAGGAGAGAGAGGTTATACCATATAACCTAAACGTGGTAGGCTGTACAAACTAGGTGTTTGTAATATTTTCTCTGACGTTTGCAAAATGATGAAATTGCCTATGGATGCATATGTTAGAACGTATCCCTGTCATTCAGTGATGCGTGACTGTGCTGAAATGCTCAATCTAAGTTTCAATGACCTCCATAACATTGTTGTACTGTGAAATACAAATCTCTAACCTATGGCCTGAATATGTTTGCAAACTAAGCAGATCATGGGAAGGAGAATGTGCTGGAATCGCTGGGAAGATTTTCTCACACTACCTGAATAATATCTCCAGACTTTGCGAATATGAGCCACTTGCATAGAGTTAAAGTAAGCATCTCTTTGCTGGGAAATTTATCAAATGGGATTATGAAGTGTTTTCAAATGATACTTGTTTGTTTGTAGACGGTAGGCCTACAGTGGCTCATGGCAATGGTTGAGGTTGCTAAGATTTGGTGGAAGAAGGCAAAATGAAATGGCCACTTATATGGTATATGGATCACATGTTTCTGTTGAGTTACAGATTCAGCTGGCTATTTCTCCCAATGTTAGTTATTTGGAGAAAAGAAACATGATAGTAATTTTGGGGTAACAAATACAATATTTGATGAAAGCAAATTTATTGAGGGTTAGACAAACTACAAGATAATTTAGGCTGCAAAGTCAACACGAGGCTTCTGGCCCAAATTGTGCAGAGTTTGGGTCCAGCTGCAAAGTTCAAAGGAAGAGGCCATATAAGATGATTCGCATTTTTGTCACCAACTGCCAGTTCAGGGGTTTCCCCAGAACACCCTCAGTTTCAAGAATTTACTAAAAAGACTCACAGAACTCATTGAATGCCATTGTACTCATAGTTTATAATAGAGAAAGGGTAGAAATTAGGACCAACCAAAGGAAGAGACATTTCACATAAGGTGGAATCTAGGAGGATTTTGAATGTTAATTTTCCATTGTCTTCAGGACATATTACCTGTCATTGTTGTACAGCAATAAACATGGAGTACTACCAACCTGGGGAGCTCACCTGATGCTAAAAAGACACTATTTAGAAAATGAAAAGACAAAGGAAAGGAGGAGATAAGATGACCTTCCACATTAAGGCACTGGAAAGTATAGCAAAATAAACCTAAAGCCAGCAGAAGGAAGAAAATAAAAATTAGAGAAATTAATAATTTATAATATTAATCATATTTGTTAGTATTGACTAATTGATATTAATTCTTGACTGACTTTTTTTAAAAAGAGAAATATTCCCTTCCCAATTTATTCTGTGGGGCCAGTGTTACCTTGATACAAAAATTAGTCCAAATAGCATAGAAAAATAAAACTACTATAAGTATAAATGCAAAATTCCTTAAAAAATACTAAAAAATCAGATCTAGCAACATATAAAAGAATTATACACTATGACAAGGTGAAATTTATACTAGTAATCTCAGGTTGGTTTAACAGCCCAAAATCCATTAAGGTAATACATCTTATCCATAGAATAAGAAACGAGAACTGCATGATCATCTCGATAGATTCCGAAAAGACATTTAACAAAATCCAAATGCTTTAATGATTAAAAATAAAAATAAAAACTCAATGAACCAGGAAGAGAGAACTTTCTACACCAGATACATGGCACCTGCGAAAAGCCAACAGCAAGCATGCAACTTAATGGTAAAGGATGCTTTCCCGCTATGGTCAGAGATAAGAATAGGATATATAATTGGACCTCTTCTAGTTAACACTGTACTAAAGATTTTATGCAGGGCAAATCGGCAACTAAAAAAAAAGAGTCACCCATATTGAATAGGAAGAAATAAAATTTTATTTGAAAATAACATTCTTGTATATAGAAAATTTTAAGGAATCCACTGAACGATAGAACTCGTAAATTATTTCAGCAATATTACAGCATACAAGATAAATGTACAAAAAAATCAATTGCACACACCTACAATGAAAACCCCAAAATGAAATTAAGAAAACACTTCAATTTAAAATAGCATCAAAAAAATAAATAATAATTAATTTGGAAAATGTGATACAAGATTTTACTCTGAAAATTAAAAATTATTGTTTAAAGAATATCTAAATAATTAGCAAACATCTTCCACCCATGAACTGGAAGATTTAATATTGTAGTACTTTGCAAGTTGAACTACAGATTTGACGTAATCCCTGCAAGTATCCCAACAGACTTCTGTCTAGAAACGGACAAGCTGATTCTAAAATACACATGGGATTGTAAGGGACTCAAAATAGCCAAAATAGTCTTGATAAAAGAAAACATATTAGGATAACTCACACCCCCGTGCTCCAAACCTTACGGCAAAGCATCAGTAATCAAGACAACAAAATACTGATGAAGGAAAAATATATAGATTGATGGAAGAGAATTGAGAGTCCATATATAAAACTATGTATCTATAGTCAATGGATTCTTAAAGTGGTGCCATGTGCAATTCAATGAGGAAGAGACAGTCTTTGAACAAACTGGGTCAACAATGTACACGTGGATCGCCACTTGCAAAATAGTAAATTGGAAGCCTTACCCCAAAGCATACAAAAATATTAACTCAAATGAATTAAAGACATGCATGCAAGAGCTTGAATAAAGCATATGCAAAAATCTTCAGGATTTTGGATCTAGCAAAGAAATATCTGTAACCCCAAAAACATGAGCAACAAAATAAAAATTAGATATTTAAAATTTCTTAAAAATTAAAGACATTGGTGTTTCAAAGGACAACCAAGCAAGTCAAAAGGCAGCTCAAAAATTGTGAGAAAATATTTGAGAAACACATATCTATATGTCTGCATATATATGTATCTTGAATATAGAAAAATTGTTTTAATTCAGTAACAAAAATCCCAACTCAAAACTGATAAATGATAGGAATAGATGTGTAGCCCAAGAAGATACACGAACGGTCAATAATCCCATAAAAACATACTCAACAACATCACTCATCAGGCAACTACAAATCAAAACCACAGTTAAATACTCTATGGCTAGAACTGGCCACTTTGGAAAATAGGTTGATGGCTTCTAAATATATGAAACATAGAATTGTCATATGACCCAGAAATGTATTCCTAGGTATACCCCCAGAGTATACAGATTTGTGGTTGCTTAGGATTGAGTAGGGGATGAGTGCATAGGAGGGTAACAGCTAGAGAAGGTGGGGTTTCTTTTTGAAGTGATGAAAATGCTCTAAAATTCATTGTGCTGATGGCTCCACTTATCTGTGTATATACTAAAAGCCATTGACTTGTAGACATTAATATGCGCACTCTACAGTATGTAAATTATATCTCAATAAATCCTTTCAAAAATACACAAAAGACTAATGGGTTTTGGAATGTTGCAGCTGGGAGGCAGTTTGAAATACTGAATAGGTCTCATCGAGAATGTGAGGTTTCAGTAAAGACTTGAGGAAGTTGAATGAGCTGATCAATGCATATATGGAAGGTTATCTTTCAAAGCCAAGAAATTAACTAGAGTCTTGGTCATAAGACAGCAGCATGTTGGCATGTCCAGAGGACAGTGAGGTGGCCAGGACCACTGGTAAGATCAAGGGTGAAGACATAAAAGAATTTTGGCGGTTAACATGCGGCAGATCACGATGGGCTTGCAGAGCATTGTAAGAATTGTATCTTTTAGTGTAAATGAAATGAGGAGACAAATCATTATCCCATTATCAATATTTTAATAAATTGGATCCATGAACCAAATCCAATGAGATTAAATCAATTAGTAATAATATGCAAATTTGTATTAAAATTACAAGAATTCCTTGCACATTTGAGAACAGGAGAGTCATGATTGTTTATCAGCAATAATAAACTATTAATTTTAATTGTCATCAGCTAATTGAGATTAATTGCAATACATCATGCTTTATAATGTGACTGTCAAAAGGAAAATATGATTTTAATCTTATACTACATCTATCAATGTCTTTGATTCATAGGTCTATAGAATAAGCCCCTAGTTTTCAAAGCCAACTGATGAGGCAGCGACATCTTATGCAAGTTTGCTGCTTTCTGCCACAGTGGTCCTTGGTCAGCTGGCACAAGTTGTTTTACCAACACCACTAGGTCTAAAAAACGTTTGGATCACAATGAACACAGAAACACCTTCATCCCTTCAGAAATACCTATCAATTAGTTCCAATACAGAATGAAAAATTGACAACGGAAGTATGTTGATTGTAAAAATGCCAGATAGCTTGCATCTACATGAAAGAAAAATGCCATTTTTATTACATTAGATCATTGTTTTACATGAGTTTTGGTATAGCACAATGTTGCACCAAGGGCAAAGAGAGATGAATTAATGAAGTCTTAAGATATCAAGAATTTGAAAGAAAAGGCAGGTCATCTTTGAAGGTTAGTGACATAGCATTCATCTTCTGTTGTCACCTTTTCCGTCATTCCCTGTATGCCTGATGGACCGCTTTCACTCAAGTTCAGAGAACAGCATGCAAAGATTAGCTACCAACTTTTTGTTATGAAGTGAGCTTAAATTCAAGCCAGACTGAGCTTACGTTTTAGCAGGAAGCATTTTTGGGAAATGTTTATGTTAGAGATTGCCCTTCTTGACAAGGTGAGACATAAATGTCTACTTTATAAACATGAATTTATATGGGAAGATATTTGAGGGAAACATTTTCTCAAATGCTAAATAACAAAGGTACACAAAGGGGAAATTATACTAGATTTATTTCCCACTTGTTTTCTATGTCTCATGCAATTCACCTTGATTCCCTTCAGTTTCTGTTTAATGTAGAAAGCGGCGTTTTCATTATTTTAAGCTTCTAGCACAATGAAAGTATTTCTCTTTTTCATGAACTGCATCATAAATGAAAGGGAGGAAGAGTGTCCAATATCATATTTATTGTTCAACAAAACACTGCTCCACTGCTTAAATTCGGTTTAAAAAAGAGAATTTATTGAACATCTAACACATACATAAAAGGCAGTAAAGACAAATGAGAAGAGGGCAGGATATTGAAGTATACAGACTTTAATGCTAAGTTTTGTATCTTAGTAAGTTACTGCACCTTACAGAGACTCAATTCCCCCTGATTTAGGAAGGCGATGCTAATGGGTATTGCATAGGTGTAAGTATAAAAATGTTGTATTTAAGAGAATCCCACAAGCTTGGTATAAGGCAGAAAATAAATAGGTGTGACATTCATGAGTAGTTTATTACATTTGTACGCTACCTGCAGACTAGAGGAAGCAAGAAACACAGCCACAATGCTTGATTAGCATTATATTCTAATTTGGAATATAAATAGAAAAGAGAAAAATAGAAAGCTATGCATAAACACATGCATTAAAATGAATTTTATGTGGACTCTTTCAGGAAAATGTTCCTAAGGTAGTTTATTTTTTTATTGTGGTAAAATACACATAACATAAAATGTACTCTGTTAACCATTTTAAGTGTACAGTTCAGTGGTACTAGAGTCATAACATTGTGCAGCCATCACTACCACCCATCTCCATAACTCGTTTCAACTTGTGAAACTGAAACTCTATACCCATTAAACAGTATTTCCCCATGTCTTCCTCTCCCCAGCTTCTGGCAATCATCGTTTTAGTATCTCTGTGATTCTGTCCCTTTTAAGTCTCTTATACAAATGGAATTATACTGTATTTGTCCTTCACTGACTAACTTATTTCACTTGGCATAATATCCTCAAGTTTCATCCAAGTTGCAATATATGTCAGTATATTTCCCTCATGATTAAGGCTGAATAATTTTCCATTGTATGTATGTATCATGTTTTGCTTATCCATTCATCTGTTGTTGAACACTTCAATTGCTTCTACGTTTTAGCTATTGCCAATAATGGTGCATGCAAACATGGATGTGCAAATATTTTTTCAATACTCTGCTTTGAATTCTTTTGCTATCTTGAGATGTGGGGCTGCCGAATCATAAGGCAATACCATTTTGATGTTTTGAGGAACTACCATACTCTTTTCCACAGCAAACATAGGGTTTGGCATTCCCTCCAATATTGCAAAATGAATCGCCACATCCTTGCCTGTGGATTTTATTCACAATTCCTGTGGCCCTCTCTACATCCCGGCCACCATGTGTTGTTTCCTGTTTATATATATGACATCAAAGGTGCAGGAAGTAATGAACTAAATTGGAAGGATAAACATGTAGAAAAATAGAGGTAAATACTGACTACATAAAACCATAAGAATAAGAATTTTGGATGATCTATCTATTATATATCTATTTATCTAACATCTATCTGTTCCTCCATCTGTAATTAAAATACATTACAGTTAGAGAACAGAGAAAAAAGTAGGAATACATGAATTTAAATTTTAATTCTTCTTAGATTGTCTCACAGCATCATTATAAGACAGAAAATTTATAGGTCAGTATCTGTTAACTATAAATGTAACATTTTTAAAGTATTCAAATACATTGAATTACAGCATGAATAACATATTACAATCCATTCAAGTTTATTTTGTTCCAGGAACACAAAAATACAAATTTCATTTGCAATTCAAGAAAAATAGAAATCGAAACATATGAGGTATATACACATTTAATGTATTTTTAAATATACATTTTTAAAAAATAAAATTTTTCTAGGACAACTACTTAAAATATCTCACTGAAAATAGTGTTATTAGATAATACCTTCCTAATAACTCTGGTATTACATAAGAAAACAAAATCAAAATTTCAGAGAAGCTTAGAAACTAAAAATTTTAAAAATATTATTCTGTCCTCCATATGTTCATATTTAATATTATTTCTTGCTTTCATTCTTCTTCAGTGTTGCTCTACTAAAATATAACATACAATAGTTACTTTTGATTTCTGTTCTTATTACTCAAAATTTTATACATTTTCTCATGCTCTTCATTTAGCTATGCTACTTTTCTTTACTCCTGGAATTTTCACATTTGTGTTCACTCTCTTTTGAGTTCCCATAGTATCAAATAAGCTGTTTGCCCTCTTTCTGATTTGAAGGTTCATCTTCTCATAATTATTTTGTCCATTCAGTTTCTTTTCATTCTCAGTTAAGTGCCTCTCATCTGGCTTCTTTTCATTTGTAAGGTTTCCTTTCATCTTAAGCCAGTCTTTTATTTATATTTTGATTCTGTTTTTTGGAGGACATGCTTCCCTGAATTTTAAGGGAGAGGCCAAAAGGTTTGTTCAAGTTTTTACCTGACACATTGGATTAAATTATCTAATGTACACACCCTTAATTTAAGTCTAGGGGCGACTGTGTCTACTCTCGATTTTGTATAGTATTATTTTTCTTAACATCCAAGTCCATCTTCATCTATTTGTATATGATCAATAAAAATATATTTGTCCAGAACCCTGCTTTGGTGGAGTTACTTCTTTCTAAGTAGGAGAGGTAGCAGTTGAGACATGAGCTGGGTTCTGGGTCAGTTTAGAGGGCTGGGCGACATTCCTCCTTTTGGTCTGTATGACTGAATGAATGCGGTTCTTGCTGTCTCGCTCCTCTCCTTAACACATTGAGCCATTGCAGCAGATGAGAAGGAATAATCCTGATCTGCCATTCAGGTGGAACACTTTTCTCTCCAACCACATCCATAGGTTGTACTCACACTCGGCCAGAATGTATCCTGTCAATCATATGGAGATGTATCTAGCTATCTAGATAGATATCTACTTTGGTTTATGCTCTCTGGTTGCCCGTAAATTATCTCCTTAAAGTGAATATCAAAAGAGAGCTTGGTGATGGCAGTGTTATAAAATCCTCAAATGCAGCACCCACACGCAGAGGAATTTGTAGATTCTGGGATTCTAATTCAGATACCAAACTACATAAAACGGGCATTGGTCATTGAGGGTTGCTAGGCTCTTTGTGGAGCATATTTGCTCTTTTCATGACTTTAAAATTATTTTAAAAATCTAACCTTTTTCTCAGTGTGCTGCAAGATGATTTGATTTTAATGCACAAGCACTAATTCTCCCCTAAGGTTTGTACAATATATTTGCTCTGACAAGCCATAGCCAGCAACTCACTTCACAGCAATTTATAGCATTTCCACGACAATTTGAATTATTTTTAACTAGACTCTCTTTGCCTTAATAAAAATATGAAGAAACAATATACTTGTTCTAGTTAGGTTCAAAAGTTGGCAGTCTCTCTCCTGGAAAGAATAATAAAACTTTTCAGCGGCCTAATATGCATCTATAGACACACACACATGCAAGCACTATTCATAATATTTAAAGCACATTCTGTTCTATGACTTCATTTGTCTAGCACAAAATAAAACGATCTCAGTATATGTCAAGTACCAATTTTTTTCGTATGGCCAATTATAGGTATTTTATTTTTTTAAAGATTAGAGTGTTCTTGAAGCTCTTTCTATTTCTTTGTCAATGAACTAAACATTGGCAAATATGTAGGGTTTCCCACATAAGAACATTATTAACATCAAAATAGAAAGCTGGTGGCAGAAATAATGATTGGGAACACAGAGTCTCTACTCAGCGTTCTACTTCTGCCATACCATAACTTTGTGATCTCACGAAATATCTCTCCATGTTCTCATCCCTATGTATAGTTCTGTCATTTTTCAATAAGAGCTTTTTGCTTAATTATGAAGTACTAGTTACTATACCCATTATTTTGAGCTTCATGTAAATCAAGAACACACGGACTCCACTTGCAAAACATTGAAAATGTAGTCAGGGATTGGGGGCACAAAGCAACATTTTAAAATGTGTAAAGACAATGAGTAAGCAACAAAGTGTCCAATTTTTTAGGTGAAAGTTGCATACGTCAGGAAAAGCCAGGATTAAGTAACAGAGAATTTGAACGATAACTGGCCAATTGGTGTCGTTTACAATTGCAAGTCATACAAATGAAGTTTGCTTTTTAAAGAGAAAAGGAGTTAGTTAGAATGGGTCAACCTATTGGGGAAGCAATGTAGTTAGAGACAATGCCCAAAACCATGTGAGCAAATGCTCTGTAGAGCGCACCCCTGCAATGCTGCCATTGTGAGGCCAAGTCTCTCCTTGTCTTGGTACTGAGACCTCCATTCTGCCTCCATCATTGCCACTGTAGCTGCCACAAAATGATCCCTCAACCACCGCTGCCCAGGAACAAAGAAAGAATTCTGTCCTTCCGCGCTCTCAGATCAATTTCCAACATCAGGTGAGACTTTGATGGGCACTATTCAGTTCCCATATCCCTGAAATAGATGCAGTAAAAACAGAAACTGCCTATGTGTTTCCCAATAAGACACATATGGAAGACTGTTTTCCCACGACAGGAAGGGGTTTCCACGATGGGTGCTCAAAGGAACAATATTCCCTGTAAACCATACTTTGCCCATATGAAGAAGAGCAATAAGGATTATTTAGTAAATAGACATGGAAACTCATCCAGGGTTGGCTGATGAGAAGCTGGTTAGCAAGGGGTGTGCCTTCAGTTAGGACAAGGTCTGTGCTTCCCACGGGTTCTCTCCACAGCAGGAGGGATGCAATCTTCCCTTTCCTCCCCTGCACCTACCCTCAAATGGCCCAGAGGTCTTCAGGAGCTAGAATTTCTCAATTAATGCTGCACAAAATAACAGACAGCCTTGACTGTCACTGTCTGTTCTCATGAAGCTAGTCTCTGCTTACTACATAAAACAGAAGTGTAAGAACAAGGGTGTTAAACACTACCCTAGCTCAAACAAGTTTCTCTCTGTAGGATGCCAAGAACCTGGGAACCAGTGCATCTGTTGCTTTCCCTTCTCAGATTCTAGCCCAGACACA
This sequence comes from Homo sapiens, assembly GCF_000001405.40. Classification (NCBI taxonomy): domain Eukaryota; kingdom Metazoa; phylum Chordata; class Mammalia; order Primates; family Hominidae; genus Homo; species Homo sapiens. Next base: position 62,278,895 of record NC_000007.14, on the reverse strand, counting down.
AGAGGCAAGGGGCATTTCTTCAGAGGCCTTGAGCTTCACTACACAATGACCCAGGCTCTACATGCACCCTCTTTATATATTTCTACCTCGAAAAAAATTTTTATATAATATTAATAATATATATTTTTACATAAGGAACACATATGTTTATTTTATAGATACATATAGATATACATAGATAAAGATCTCTAGTCTGCCTTTTTGAAGGCTGGGCTGATCGCGGTGCCCCAAAACTATAATCCCAGCACTTTGGGAGGCCAAGGTGGCCAGATCTCTTGAGTCCAGGAGATGGAGATCAGCCAGGGCAACATGGTGAAACCCTATCTTTACAAAAATTAGCTAGTATGGTGTCATGCACTTGCAGTCCCTGCTACTCAGGAGACTGAGGTGGGAGAATCGCTTGAACACAGTATGTGAAGGCTTCAGTGAGCTCTGATCACATGACTGCACTCCATCTTGGGTGACAAAGTGAGACCCTCTCTCAAAATAAAATAAAATAAAAAGGCTACCACCATACTCACAGTTAAGTGTGTCAGGTATATTTGCAGCTATCTTTCCTATATTCTATTTGGTAAAAAAAAAAATTGCAAAGAACTCTTCTCATTCTAGATTTTTGTATTAATTAGACATTTGAAGTTTATAGCAGAAGAGCTATAATCATGTTTGGTATGTGTACTCTATAGACCAGATAGTGCACACATATATCAATGCTTTTTAAAAGTATATAAGGTTATTAGAAATATTTTAAAATACCTATAGGTATATATGTATCTAGTTGAACTATCAAATGCAAGTAAGATCATTTCCTTAGCGTGTGAAATGCACTCAATTTATTAAAATATTTTCTAATGTCTATTACAATAATATTTCTTAATTAGCTAACATAAGAGGAGTTTTAAGACATTTATTTATATGTACTTACTAGATTCAAACTCGATTCCACTATTTTCAGAAATCATGCTCCGAGACAAGTCCTTTTTTTATCTAACTATGTTTCTACCTATATTAAAAGACAGATATGTCAATTTTGCTAATCATGCTGTTCCAAACCTCTCCATCCTATTTTTCGGTTTGTTCTATCAGTCATTCAAAGACTTACTTATATTCAAATTTCTCTCTAGGTTTAACATTTGTGTATGTCTTCTTGTGTTTTTTTCTATTTTTGCTGTATATAATTTAAGACATTTATTGACATATATCATACATGCAGAAAAGTACAATGATTAAATATGGATAGCTTCATTAATGAAACACATGTATTTGCTTATAACCATGTATGAAAATAGAACATTACTAAAAATAGAGATACTTCTCCTGCCCCTTTCCAAACACTAACCCTCATCCTCAATAGTAACAAATTTTATCATAGAGTAATTTGGTCTATTTTCAAATTTTTATTAAATAAATCAGAGTATCTACTCTAAGTCTATGTTTCTTTCACTGTTGTTATTTTGCTTATAGTATTTATCTGCTAATGGACATGGTAGATTAAAGACGGCTACATACACATTTTTTAATTAATAGATTTTTTGAGCACCCTGTGGCTCATGCCTCTAATCCCACCACTTTGGGAGGCTGAGGTGCATGGATCATGAGGTCAGGAGATCGAGACCATCCTGGCCAACGTGGTAAAACCCCTTCTCTACTAAAATACAAAAAATTAGCTGATAGATAACATCAAGATAACATGTGGGTTCTTAGCTGCACTGAGTCAAGCCTACTTACATCTTTGTTTGTCTTCCTCTGCACTTTTCCTTCCACATCACACTCCAGGAATGCCAAGCTGTGCTGGCATTCTACCCGATTTCGACTATTTTGCCCCCGCCAACGCGGCTTTTTGCCGCCGTGGATTTTTGACCCCGCCGCTGCGGGTTTTTGTTGCTTTCTGCCCCCGCCGCCGTGGCTTTCTGCCCCCGGCCTCGCGGAATTTAGCCCCTGCCGCCAAGGCTTTTTGGGGCTCTTTGCCCTCGCCGCCGTGGCTTTTTGTCCCCGCAGCTTTTTGCGTCTTTCTCCCCCCGCCGCCGCGGCTTTTTGCCCCAGAAGCCACAGCTTTTTACCCTCACCGCCGCGGCTTTTTGCGGCTTTTTTCCCCCTGCTGCCGCAGCTTTTTGCCCCCGCCACCGCGAATTTTTCTGCCGCGGCTTTTTGTCACCACCGCCATGGCTTTTTGTGGCTTTTGGCCCCCGGCGCCGCGGCTTTTTACTGCTTTACGCCCCCGCCGCCGCCACAGGTTTTTCCCGCCGCGGCTTCTTGCCCCGCCTCCCCGGCTTTTTGTGGCTTTTTGCCGCCGCGGCTTTTTGGCCTCGCCGCCGCGCCTCCTTGCCCCCTACGTGGCTTCCTGCCCCCTCCGCCACAGCTTTTTATCACCCCAGCCGATTTTTGCCCCCGCCGTCGTGGCTTTTTGCCGTCCCTGCTTTTTGCCCCCTCTGCCGCGGCTTTTTGGGGCTTTTTACCCACTCTGCCGTGGCTTTTTGCAGCTTTTGGCACCAGACACCGTGGCTTTTTGAGGCTTTTTGCCCCCGCCGCCGCGGCTTTATGCCGCCGCCGCACCGTTTTGCCCCCGCCGCCACATCTTTTTGCCGCCGTGGCTTCTTACCCCGCCACCGCGGCTTTTTGACCCCGCTGTCGCGGCTTTCTGACCCCGACGATGCGGCTTTTTATGGCTTTTCGCCCCCATCACCGCAGCTTTTTGCCCCCGCCGCCGCGGCTTTTTGCCCCCGCCACCGCAGCTTTTTGTCGCCGCGGCTGTTTGCCTCGGCCGCCATGGCTTGTTGCCCCCGCCGCCGTGGCATGTTGCCCCCATCGCCCCGGCTTTTTCCCCCACCGCCCCGGCTTTTTGACCCCACCGTTGCGGCTTTTTGCGCCCGCCGCCGCAACTTTTTGCGGCTTTTTGCCCCCGCCGCCGCGGGATTTTGCCCCCATCACCGCGGCTTTTTCCCCGCCGCCGCGGCTTTTTGCCGACGCAGCTTTTTATTCCCACCGCCACAGGTTTTTACCGCTGCGGCTTTTTCACCCCGGCATCGCGGGTTTTTGCCCCCACCGCCGTGGCTTTTTGCCCCAACCGCCGCGGGTCTGAGGGCGGGATCGGCAGACTCGGCTGCCAGATCTACCGGACTCCTGGCTAAGGACCAGGGTCACTCCTGGTCCAGCTCTCCCGGTTCAGGGGTTCCTTGCCTAGACACCCGCGCCCCAGGCTCTGTTCCTGGGCCGCTGCAGCCTGCATAGAGCGGCGCTGCGCTCGGCCCCGATGGGAGGGAAGAAGGAGAGCGGTGGAGGGGGTGACACAGCTATTGCAGAGGGAGGCGCAGGGGCCGCAGCCAGCCGGGTGCTGCAGCAGTGCGGGCAGCTCCAGAAGCTCATCGGCATCTCCGTTGGCAGCCTGCATGGGCTGCGCACCAAGTGTGCTGTGTCCAAGGACGTCACCCAGCAGGAGATATGGACCCTGCAGGTTAGGGGGTTGGGGACCAGGGCTGGGTTCCAGCAACGGACTGGACATCTCCCTCGGGGCCCCAGTTCATTCCTGGCCGAGTTGCATCCTTGAGCCCGTGTCACCCCCTTGGAGGCTTCTCCTCCCTCCTGCACTCGCTGATGTTGGAGCCGGAGGACCCAGGACCAGCCCTCACCTTGGGCAGGATTTGTGGGGCGGGTGCGTGTTGGGAACTGTGATGGAAGCTCGAGGGGCCCGTGGGCGGGGTGGGCTGCGCGCGGACATCCCCTTACGCCCCGAATTTCCATCTGGTGCAGCCTTCTCATCTTGTAGGTGAGGAAACCGAAGGCCTGAGGGAGAAATGACTTGCCAGGAACCCCTGTTAAGGAAAATTAACAAAGTGTGGATATCAAAGGAGAACTGAGTTCGGATTCAGACCTGGAGTCCCACACCCTTGGTTAAGACATTATACCACCTTGAGTCTGGCCTGTTGACTGAGGGTGAGCCACTCCATCCTCATCTGATTGTGGGGTCTTGACCTCAAGGGGTTTCCTGCAGGAAGAAGCAAATGGGTTTGCTTTCCTAGCTCTGTCCAGTACCTTAGGGACCCTGAGAACTGGAGAGATTCTTGGAGAGCCGTCTGGTGTATGTCATGGGTGAGCCTTGTTTGAAAGACAGTCTGCCCAGTGGGCTGGCTCAGCCTGAATGAACTGTCTTGAATCTTTGGAGATGTCTGTGTACTTTTAAGGGTTTCTCATCCTTGCACCAAAAGATCCCCTGGAAATTAGGTGGGAAACCTTAACTTTTGTGGAGCCTTGTATTTGTCTTAAAAGTTCATGCACATAGCAAGGTGTGGTGGCTCACACCTGTTATCCTGTCCTGGATCCCTTGAGTCAAGGAGTTTGAGACCAACCTGGACAATATAATGAGACCCCATCTCTATAAAAAATAAAATGTTAGCCAGGAGTGGTTGTGCGCATCTGTAGTCCTAGCTACTACGGTGGCTGAGGTGGGAGGAGCACTTGAGCCTACACTGAGCTGTGATCTCACCAGTGTATTCCAGCCTGGGCCACAGAGCAACACCTTGACTCAAGAAAAAAAAAATCAACAAGAAAAATTCTTGAAGATTTTGCATTCTGTCCCACTATCCATTGGTTTTCATGTCAAGATAATGTCAGAAATTCTTTACAATTGCTTCCAGAAGGAGTAGCCATTTGATCTAGTGCACAGGTGTCCAGTCTTTTGGCTTCTCAGGGCCACATTGGAAGAAGAATGCTCCTGGGCCACAGATAAAATACACTACTGCTAATGATAGCTGATGAGCTTAAAAAAAAAAAGTTTGTGCATAATTTTCATGATACCCACCACCACAGATAGGCAGAAATATCCTTGTAGTCAAAGGGTTGGACAGGGCTGATCTAGTGTCTTGTCGTCCGTTTTGGCTTTCTCCCTGACTCCAGAATGCAGGTAGAGATGTAGAGACATGCTCTCAGGACAGCTGTTGAGATAAAAAAAATTCGCTGTCATTTATTCCCAAGGACAGCTGTTTGCCATTTGCATTGAAAAAGTCTCCATTCAAACTGCTGTCACATATAAAATCTATTTATATGTCTGTATTTTTCTGTTGTCTTGGCCTTTGTAGGCAGTAGTGTGTTTTAACCAAGCAAACTGTCCTTCCAAATAATGAAGCCGAAGTCAGCCTACCTGCTTGCCATTTTTCTTCCCCTTCCATTTTTCTAACCTCAGGGTAATTGTAAGAATGAATAAGATTTGTGTTTAAGGCCGGGCACAGTGTCTCAGGCCTGTAATCTCAGCACTTTGGGAGGCAGAGATGGATGTATCGTTTGATCTCAGGAGTTGAAGACCAGCCTGGGCAACATACTGAGACTCCATCTTGTATAATTAAATTAAAAATTAAAAAAAGGAGAGAAAAGGACCTGTGTTTAAAATTTTAAAAAAGGAGGGAAGGTGTAATGCAAAATGTGGACTGTGCTAGCTACGATTGGGAAAAATAATTTTTCATACAGCCTTATCTGTTGACTTGTATTAGCAGTATACTGGTCATAAGCGTTTTGCTTTCCTCAAATATGATGAGGTAAGCTACTTTAAAGTGTGGTGGGGCTTTCTTCCACATGGCTCCTGGAGGTGTTGAGTCCCAATTTAGCCAATTAATTTGGGTTTAGTTTTCATATGGATGAGGGAGACCAGCTTCATTCATGATGCACACACAGTTTTACCGGTAAGGAAAAAAAAAGCAACCTGAATGTTCCTACTCATTAGATTCTATCTGTAGAGCTCCTACCCCACCGCCACAAAGGCCCTGGCCCTTAAAAAGACTCAGTGCAGCCTTTCTGCATCTCATACTGTATTGTGCAAGATGCTCCTGTGAAAGAAAGTTGTGCTGCATCAGCCATCTCCCTCCTGAAGATCCCTGCGGATGAGGATTTGTGTTTTAAAGGTTCTCAGAAGTCCTGCAACAACAGTTCTCAAACTTATTTGTCCAGGGGATCTTTTCTTCCACTGAACATAGTTGGGGAGACATGGCCTTAAGCCTTCAGCAGAGAAAGAGACAAGAAACTGTTGGCTCACTTACAACCAAGTGTTGTGTTTATGTTTTAGGTTTTTATGAAATTGAGGTGCTGTTTGAGGTTCTGAATCAAATTGGGTGGTTGAAGAGAGGCTGGTATCCCTGTAGACTTAGCCAGCCATGAGAGGTTGAGTTTTGTTGAAGGAGGTGTTTTACAAAGGGAAATAGGGTGTTTCCTGGGCTTCACATTAGCACTTAAATACATTTACCACTGAAATGAAATGAAATGATGAAATGATGACATGAAATGAAATGAAATGATGAAATGAAATGACGAAATGATGAAATGAAATGAAATGATAAAATGATGAAATGAAATGAAATGATGAGATGAAATGAAATGGTGAAATGATGAAATGAAATGCTGAAATGAAATGAAATGATGAAATGAAATGATGAGATGAAATGAAATAATGAAATGATGAAATGGAATGAGGAAATGAAATGATGAAGTGATGAAATGAAATGGTGCAATGAAATGAGGAAATGAAGTGAAATGATGAAATGATGAAATAATGAAATGAGGGGTGGAGCTAAGAAGACCGAATAGGAACAGCTCCGGTCTACAGCTCCCAGCATGAGCGATGCAGAAGATGGGTGATTTCTGCATTTCCATCTGAGGTACCGGGTTCATCTCACTAAGGGAGTGCCAAACATTGGGTGCAGGACAGTGGGTGCAGCCCACCATGTGGGATCCGAAGCAGGGTGAGGCATTGCCTCACTCAGGAAGCACAAGGGGTCAGGAAGTTCCCTTTCCTAGTCAAAGAACGGGGTGACAGATGGCACCTGGAAAATCGGGTCACTCTCACCCTAATACTGCACTTTTCCAACAGGCTTGGAAAACGGCACACCAGGAGATTGTGTATCGCACCTGGCTCGGAGGGTCTTATGCCAATGGAGTCTTGCTGATTGCTAGCAGGGCACTCTGAGATCAAACTGCAAGGCGGCAGCGAGGCTGGGGGAGTGGGGCACGCCATTGCCCTGGCTTTCTTAGGTAAACAAAGTAGCAAGGCATCTGGAACCGGGTGGAACCCACAACAGCTCCAGGAGGCCTGCCTGCCTCTGTAGGCTCCACCTCTGGGGGCAGGGCATAGACACACAAAAAGTCAGCAGTAACCTCTGCAGACTTAAATGTCCCTGTCTGACAGCTTTGAAGAGAGTAGTGGTTCTCCCAGCATGCAACTGGAGATCTGAGACTGGGCAGACTGCCTCCTAAAGTGGGTCACTGAACCCTGAGCAGCCTAACTGGGAGGCATCCCCCTGTAGGGACAGACTGACGCCTCACTCGGCCGGGTAGTCCTCTGAGACCAAACTTCCAGAGGAATGATCAGACAGCTGAATTTGTGGTTCACGGAAATCCGCTGTTCTGCAGCCACCGCTGCTGATACCCAGGCAAACAGGGTCTGGCTTGGACCTCTAGTAAACTCCAACAGACCTGCAGCTGAGGGTCCTTCTGTTAGAAGGAAAACTAACAAACAGAAAGGACACCCACAGTAAAAACCCATCTGTACATCACCATCATCAAAGACCAAAAGTTGATAAAACCACAAAGATGAGGAGAAAACAGAACAGAAAAACTGGAAACTCTAAAAAGCAGAGTGCCTCTCCTTCTCCAAAGGAATGCAGTTCCTCACCAGCAACGGAACAAAACTGGTCAGAGAATAACTTTGACGATTTGAGAGAAGAAGGCTTCAGATGATCAAACTACTGTGAGCTACAGGAGGAAATTCAAACCAATAGCAAAGAAGTTAAACTATTCACAGTAGCAAAGACTTGGAACCAACCCAAATGTCCAACAATGATAGACTGGATTAAGAAAATGTGGCACATATACACCATGGAATACTATGCAGCCATAAAAAATGATGAGTTCATGTCCTTTGTAGGGACATGGATGAAATTGGAAACCATCATTCTCAGTAAACTATCGCAAGAACAAAAAACCAAACACCGCATATTCTCACTCATAGGTGGGAATTGAACAATGAGATCACATGGACACAGGAAGGGGAATATCACACTCTGGGGACTGTGGTGGGGTCGGGGGAGGGGGGAGGGATAGCATTGGGAGATATACCTAATGCTAGATGACACGTTAGTGGGTGCAGCGCACCAGCATGGCACATGTATACATATGTAACTAACCTGCACAATGTGCACATGTACCCTAAAACTTAGAGTATAATAAAAAAAAAAAAATTAAAAAAATAAATAAAAAATAAAAAAATAAAAAAAATAAAAAAAAAAACTTTGAAAAACAATTAGACAAATGTATAACTGGAATAACCAATGCAGAGAAATGCTTAAGGGATCTGATGGAGATGAAAGCCAAGTTTCGAGAACTACGTGAAGAAGGCAGAAGCCGCAGGAGCCGATGCAATCAAATGGAAGAAAGGGTATCAGTGATGGAAGATGAAATGAATGAAACGAAGGGAGAAGGGAAGTTTAGAGAAAAAAGAATAAAAAGAAACAAAGCCTCCAGGAATTATGGGACTCTGTGAAAAGACCAAACCTACGTCTGATTGGTGTATCTGAAAGTGACGGGGAGAATGGAACTAAGTTGGAAAACACTCTGCAAGTTATTATCCAGGAGGACTTCCCAAATCTAGCAAGGCAGGCCAACATTCAGATTCAGGAAACACAGAGAACGCCCCAAAGATACTCCTCAAGAAGAGAAACTCCAAGACACATAATTGTCAAATTCACCAAAGTTGAAATGAAGGGAAAAATGTTAAGGGCAGCCAGAGAGAAAGGTCGGGTTACCCACAAAGGGAAGCCCATCACACTAACAGCTGACCTCTTGGCAGAAACTCTTCAAGCCAGAAGAGAGTGGGGGTCAATAGTCAACATTCTTAAAGAAAATAATTTTCAACCCAGAATTTCATATCCAGCCAAACTAAGCTTCATAAGTGAAGGAGAAATAAAATCCTTTACAGACAAGCAAATGCTGAGAGATTTGCTTGCCCTAAAAGAGCTCCTGAAGGAAGCACTAAAAATGGAAAGGAACAACTGGTACCAGCCACTGCAAAAACATGCCAAATTGTAAAGTCCATTGAGACTAGGAAGAAACTGCATCAACTAATGAGCAAAATAACCAGCTAACATCACAATGATAGGATCAAATTCACACATAACAATATTAACTTTAAATGTAAATGGGCTAAAGGCTCCAATTAAAAGACACAGACTGACAAATTGGATAAGGAGACAAGACCCATCCGTGTGCTCCATTCAGGAAACCCATCTCACGTGCAGAGACACACATAGACTCAAAATAAAGGGATGGAGGAAGGTCTACCAAGCAAATGGAAAACAAAAAAAGGCAGGGGTTGCAATCCTAGTCTGTGATAAAATAGACTTTAAACCAACAAAGATCAAAAGAGACAAAGAAGGCCTTTACATAATGGTAAAGGGATCAATTCAACAAGAAGAGCTAACTATCCTAAATATATATGCACCCAATACAGGAGCACCCAGATTCATAAGGCAACTCCTGAGTGACCTACAAAGAGACTTAGACTCCCCCACAATCATAATGGGAGATTTTAACACGCCACTGTCAACATTAGACAGATCAACGAGACAGAAAGTTAGCAAGGACACCCAGGAATTGAACTCAGCTCTGCACCAAGCGCACCTAATAGACATCTACGGAACTCTCCACCCCAATTCAACAGAATATACATTTTTTTCAGCACCACACCACACCCATTCCAAACTTGATCACACAGTTGGAAGTAAAGCTCTCCTCAGCAAATGTAAAAGAACAGAAATTATAACAAACTGTCTCTCAGACCACAGTGCAATCAAACTAGAACTCAGGATTAAGAAACTCACTGAAAACCGCTCAACTACATGGAAAATGAACAACCTGCTCCAGAATGACCACTGGGTACATAACAAAATGAAGGCAGAAATAAAGATGTTCTTTGAAACCAACGGGAACAAAGAAAAAACATACCAGAATCTCTGGGACACACTCAAAGCAGTGGGTAGAGGGAAATTTATAGCACTAAATGCCCACAAGAGAAAGCAGGAAATATCCAAAATTGACACCCTAACATCACAATTAAAAGAACTTGAAAAGCAAGAGCAAACACATTCAAAAGCTAGCAGAAGGCAAGAAATAACTAAAATCAGAGCAGAACTGAAGGAAATAGAGACACAAAAATCCCTTCAAAAAATTAATGAATCCAGCAGCTGGTTTTTTGAAAAGATCAACAAAATTGATAGACCACTAGCAAGACTAATAAAGAAGAAAAGAGAGAAGAATCAAATAGATGCAACCAAAAATAATAAAGGGGTTATCACCACCGATCCCACAGAAATACAATCTACCATCACAGAAAACTACAAACAACTCAATGCAAATAAACTAGAAAATCTACAAGAAATGGATAAATTCCTTGACACATACACTCTCCCAAGACTAAACCAGGAAGAAGTTGACTCTCTGAATAGACCAATAACAGGCTCTGAAATTGTGGCAATAATCAATAGCTTACCAACCAGAAAGAGTCCAGGACCAGATGGATTCACAGCAGAATTCTACCAGAGGTACAAGGAGGAACTGGTACCATTCCTTCTGAAACTATTCCAATCAATAGAAAAAAAAGGATTCCTCTCAAACTAATTTTATGAGGACAGCATCATCCTGATACCAAAGCCAGGCAGAGAAACAACAAAAAAAGAGAATTTTAGACCAATATCCTTCATGAACATTGATGCAAAAATCCTCAATAAAATACTGGCAAACCGAATCCAGCAGCACATCAAAAAGCTTATGCGCCATGATCAAGTGGGCTTCATCCCTGAGATGCAAGGCTGGCTCAACATATGCAAATCAATAAACGTAATCCAGCATATAAACCTAACCAAGGACAAAAACCACATGATTATCTCAATAGATGAAGAAAAGGCCTTTGACAAAATTCAACAGCCCTTCATGCTAAACATTCTCAATAAATTAGGTATTGATGGGATGTATCTCAGAATAATAAGAGCTATCTATGACAAACCCACAGCCAATATCATATTGAATGGTCAAAAACTGGAAGCATTCCTTTTGAAAACTGGCACACGACAGGGATGTCCTCTCTCACCACTCCTATTCAACATAGTGTTGGAAGTTCTGGCCAGGGCAATCAGGCAGGAGAAGGAAACAAAGGGTATTCAATTAGGAAAAGAGGAAGTCAAATTGTCCCCGTTTGCAGATGACATGGTTGTATATCTAGAAAACCCCATTGTCTCAGCCCAAAATCTCCTTAAGCTGATAAGCAACTTCAGCAAAGTCTCAGGATACAAAATCAATGTACAAAAATCACAAGCATTCTTGCACACCAATAACAGACAGAGTGCCCAATCATGAGGGAACTCCCATTCACAATTGCTTCAAAGAGAATAAAATACCTAGGAACCCAATTTACAAGGGACATGAAGGACATCTTCAAGGAGAACTGCAAACCACTGCTCAATGAAATAAAAGAGGATACAAACAAATGGAAGAACATTCCATGCTCTTGGGTTGGAAGAATCAATATCGTGAAAATGGCCATACTGCCCAAGGTAATTTATAGATTCAATGCCATCCCCATCAAGCTACCAATGACTTTCTTCACAGAATTGGAAAAAACGACTTTAAAGTAAATATGGAACCAAAAAAGAGCCCGTATCGCCAAGTCATTCCTAAGCCAAAAGAACAAAGCTGGAGGCATCACGCTACCTGACTTCAAACTATACTACAAGGCTACAGTAACCCAAACAGCATGTTACTGGTACCAAATCACAGACATAGATCAATGGAACAGGACAGAGCCCTCAGAAATAATGCCACATAGCTACAACTGTCTGATCTTTGACAAACCGGACAAAAACAAGCAATGGGGAAAGGATTCCCTATTTAATAAATGGTGCTGGGAAAACTGGCTAGCCATATGCAGAAAGCTGAAACTGGATCCCTTCCTTACACCTTATACAAAAATTAATTCAAGTTGGATCAAAGACTTACATGTTAGACCTAAAATCATAAAAAACCCTAGAAGAAAACCAAGGCAATACCATTCAGGACATAGGCCTGGGCAAGGACTTCATGTCTAAAACACCAAAAGCAATGGGAACAAAAGCCAAAATTGACAAAGGGGATCTAATTAAATTAAAGAGCTTCTGCACAGCAAAAGAAACTACCATCAGAGTGAACAGGCAACCTACATAATGGGAGAAAATTTTCGCAACCTACTCATCTGACAAAGGGATAATATCCAGAATCTACAATGAACTCAAACAAATTTACAAGAAAAAAACAAACAACCCCATCAAAAAGTGGGTGAAGGACACGAACAGAAACTTCTCAAAAGAAGACATTTATGCAGCCAAAAAACACATGAAAAAATGCTCATCATCACTGGCCATCAGAGAAACGCAAATCAAAACCACAATGAGATACCATCTCACACCAGTTAGAATGGCGATCATTAAAAAGTCAGGAAACGGCAGGTGCTGGAGAGGATGTGGAGAAATAGGAACACTTTTACACTGTTGGTGGGACGGTAAACTAGTTCATCCATTGTGGAAGTCAGTGTGGCGATTCCTCAAGTATCTAGAACTAGAAATATCATGTGACCCAGCCATTCCATTACTGGGTATATACAGAAAGGACTATAAATCATGCTGTAATAAGGACACATTCACACATATGTTTATTGCGGCAGTATTCACAATAGCAAAGACTTGGAACCATCCCAAATGTCCAACAACGATAGACTGGATTAAGAAAATGTGGCACATATACACCATGGAGTACTATGCAGCTACAAAATATGATGAGTTCGTGTCCTATGTAGGGACATGGATGAAACTGGAAATCATCATTCTCAGTAAGCTCTCGCAAGGACAAAAAACCAAACACCACATGTTATCATTCATAGGTGGGTATTGAACAATGAGAACACATGGACACAGGAAGGGGAACATCACACTTCGGGGACTGTTGTGGGGTGGGGTGAGTGGGGAGGGATAGCATTAGGAGATATACCTAATGCTAAATGACGAGTTAATGGGTGCAGCACAGCAACATGGCACATGAACACTTATGTTACAAACCTGCACATGGTGCACATGTATCCTAAAACTTAAGGTATAATAATAAAATAAAATAGAATAAAATAACAAAATATACACTAATACCAACCAGAAAAATTGTAGAGAAAGGTCATTTAAAACATATGAAGGATAGAGTAATAATCTAACACGTTGAAATCTAAGAAGGAGAAAACAGCTTGTCTGAACAGCATTTTAAGTGGCAATGTTAGAGGTTTTATCAAAATTGACCAATAATATTAAACGACAGGTTCAGGAGGCTTTTCAAAGCAAATGAAAACACACACGGAGGACACATCAAGAAACATAATGGGACAATTTCTGGAAAGTAAAAGAAAAATGTAAAGAGCACTTGATAAAAAAAATTGGGCTAACTACAAAGAGAAAGAGTTGACTGATAACAACTTTCTCAAATGAAACAACGAAAGCCAACAAGTGAGGTATTGATATCTTTCAAGTCCTGAAATAAAATAAGTGCTAACCTAGAACTGTCTACTTGGTGGACATATCCATCAAAAGCAAAGATACAATAAAGGATTTCTCCCAAGCAGACCCACAGGAAAAGAAATACTTAAGATTATACTTCAGGTAGAAGAGCCATGATCCCTGATGAAAGTTTGCAGTTTGAAGAACAATTTTTTAATGAAAGAAACAAACATAGAGAGAAATTTAATTGGATATTGACTGTATAACAGAATGCTATCTCATAAAGTTTAAAATGTATCTTCCATACAACGGCAGAAGCATATAAGTTGTGAGTTGGATAAAGTAATTTTAAAATATTGTCAAGTTATTTTTTTGCAAATAGACAGATGTACCAATTATATTAGACCCTGAATTCAAGAATGCACGTTGTATTAAACCAGGTAAAACATAACCAGACAAGATTTTTTAAATGGACTCTCTAAAAGTTTATATAATTTATATTCATATTTCACATATGATGAAAGTAAATAATGGAAAAGCATGCAATGCAAATATTAACCAAAATATAGCTTTAGTTATACTTATATTCGCATTTTTAAAGTTGGACACAGTTAAGTCTCAGTGATTTTTTTACACAACGGAGGCAACCTGTGCAGTTATAACTAGTATTATATTATGCTCTTGGCCTGATTACAGAAGGGAAAGGGGAGATCATACCAGACAGTGGCAGAATGAAGCAACAAGGAGTAGAGTTACAGAACATGATGCTGCAACTGGGACTGGAGTTACACTTTTAGAGTTAAAGAATAGTAAACTGGACAAAATATATGAAACATTTTTTTGAAGTACTGAACATCAGGCAGCACAGGACTCTGCTCTGCAAGAGAAGAGAAGGAGCCAGAATGAGTCCTGCTTTATTCCCAGATTCTCCGAGACAGCAGTAGAGAGGAATCCCAGAGAGAGCAGACATTGTCATTGCACTGAGGAACCCGATAAAAATCAAAAAAGGTTAAGCAGCTGGAATGTGTAGTAGAAGAGAACGTTTACAGAAAAAGGAACCAAGAATCAGCCTAAGGATTCTCCCAAGTCCCTAAGCCAAATGTACATAGGATGAAATTCTAAGGAGCTGAGCAAAGGACTGTACCAGGGAGTTGGAAGAAGAACATTTCCCTGGCATCACATGACAGGAAGACACATTAGCTCTGACCAGCCAGAGAAGGGAATCCCCTCTGTACCTCCAGGATATTCAGAAAAGACCACTGGAGGTTCATGCCCTAGTGACAGTGCTCATGTAGCTCCAAATTACAGATGGCTCTAGACTAACTCGACAAAGTTTAAAGAGAAGATTTAAAACAACAACAGACAAATACTCATCCTGAAGTTACTGAACTGCCTGCCACAACATTGTTCAAAGGTAGCCAATCAAATCTAGATATTCAATAGCATAACACCAAAATACCCCCCAAAAAAACTCTGACATGCAAAGAAGCCATAAGATATATATAATTAAGACATATATTAACAGGATAAAAATAAGTCATTTATAAATGACAGAGAAGAAGGAAATTTCAAGGTCCTTAAAGTAAATATATTTTAAATACATATAGATAACTACATATATATGTCAAGGTACTTAAATGAAAATTGAACATAGGAGAAAAATAGAAGTTATAAAATGAAAAATGTGACATGTATAGATGAAAAATAAATATTTGAAATAAAAATTCCATGAGATAGAATAAGTAATGTATCTTACCCTAACATCAGAAAATTTATAGAACAAAATAGAAGCTTTACAAACTAAAGGACAAATGGTAAACTAAAATAAGAAAGCCAGAAACTCACTGATACGTCAGACAATATGCAGCAGTGTAACATACATGTAATCAATATCTCAAAAAGGATGGGTGGGGGAATTATAGGTGAATAAAGAATGGTACACTCATTCCTGAGGACACCGAGGAGGGAGGATAGCTTTAGATTCCTAAGGGAGGGTATTATCCATTCATGAAGGTCCAACCCCCATGAAAGAACACCTCCCAGTGAGCCCCACCTGCAACATTGGGGATCAAATTTTAACATGAGATTGGAAGGGGCAAGCATTCAAACCATAGCAAGAGTTAAATTTCCTATTTTAAAAAAATCACTGATATGATTCCGTTTTGCCATATATAAAAGCTAGTATTTCAGCCTACCATTGAGTGTACTTATAGCTCATCAAAAGGGCAATCTGTCTCAGGAATACAGATTTACCTAGAGGTATCCAATTGCAGTCAAAGAAAGAGCAATGAGGGAGAGAAAATGTTAGTGATGGAGACACCAGCGCTGCATTTTACAACAAACCATGTACAAACTTTACGGATTGGTTCTGCTAACTTACTACAGTTTACATTCCTCTCAGGTGGGAGAATTGTTGCGTTTTATCTTAAGATAGAAAAGCAATTCAGATAATCTGAAATCTCCACAAGAAGGATAAGGAGCAGAGCAGAAACTCTTCTAGGCAGGAATTCAATCCTTTCAACTGTCTGTGGTCCATAGAAACAATTGTCTGCACTGGGAGTCACATGAGGTACAGACCACAGCCAGACCTCTGATCCTCTCATTAGTGATTTCAGAAGACATTACCAGTCAACTGAGTAATTCACTGAGTAAAGTAAACATTTGGCACTGAAAGAGGTTAGACGGATAACTATTTGTATCACCATATTCATGAAGCTGGAATATGTTCCATTACTCGTATGACATCCGAATGGAAGATGTTGAAAGGTCTCTCATCTTGTAAGATGGATATGAAAGAACATTTTCTGAGAAATGAAATTATTAACACACCTGCGAGGTGGATGGAAGAGAAAAAAAAGAATAATCAGCTTGAGTTCTTCTCCTTGATAAGACAACTCACTAAAAACTTAAAGAGAAAAATACAAGTTTAAAATAATTAACCAGAGAAGACGACTCTAGAGTTTTTAAATTGTTCCAAGTTGAAAATAATTATATTGCTTGTGTTTTAAGGCACATAATGAGCAATTATATCACACGTGACAGTTTCAGCAGTAAAATATCCGTTAAGAGCTGGAACTCATAACAACATAGCACAATGTGAAGATGGAATTTGCTAAAATAAACCATCTGCTGAAAACTACTATTCTGCAAATTTAAAAATAAAGTTTAAATGTTATTTGTCTTATTTAATAGGTCTGTGAAAAAAATGCGATATTTGAAAAGTAGGTGCTACCTTAATTAGTTCTTTATGTTAGACGGCTGGTTACAGTAATGTACAGTAAGGTGCTACATAGATATATTGCTAATTTTCTGCATATACTATGTATTTGGCTTAAATTATTTGAAATTTTATATTTAAAGTAACAAATCTATACTTAAATGTTTTGACACAAATTGCAAATATACCTTTAAAAAGCTTCTTACACTCTAAATATTATTTGTCACCTATATATTTGTCTTTTCTCTATAAGAAAGTTTAAATTTTTCCCTGGAAGATTTAATTATTTGAGTCTATAAAATAAACTGATAAAGTACAAATTAACAGGAAAAAAAAGGTTTACAGATATGTGCACAAGTATGCACTTGCAGTTTACATAATATATATATCTATACAAATATTTGTATATTATAAACAGATATACAAATATATACTATATATATAAAAACTCCAGGAAAGGCAAGGTAGTCAGCACACCTATGCTGTCTTGAGGTTACAGAAAACACAGAGCTGTAGGTTGGTAAATCAGGCTTTGAGGAAGACAGGTGACGACAAGGAAGAAAGAGGAGCCTGGCAGCAGAGTTGGTCTTGTTACATCGGTGAAACCTCACAGGGAGCAGCCCTCCTCTTGGGAACTATAGATAGGAAATGGTTTTTAGAAATGTAAACGTGCCAGACTCAGTTAATCTTTCCTAAACCCAGGCAAGGGAGTATCTCAGGGAAAGCCGGTCTATATCAATGCAGATTTTCTCTACAAATACAAATCTCCCCAACAAACACAGCTTTTCAGCTATTTTTGTAGAAGAAGCTATCTCCAGTCTTCCGAGTAGCCATCTTGAAATATGTCAAAAAGCTGGCCAGGCGCACGCCTGTAATCCCAACACTTTGGGAGGCTGAAGTGGGTAGATCACCTGAAGTCAGGAGTTGGAGACCTGCCTGACCTACATGGTGAAACCCTGTCTCTAATAAATACAAAAAATTAGCCGAGTGTGGTGGTGCATGCCTGTAATCTCAGCTACTTGGGAGGCTGAGCTAGGAGAATTAGTTGACCCTGGGAAGCTGAGGTTGCAGTGAGCCAAGATTGTGCCTGCACTCTAGCCTGGGCAATAAAAGCAAAACTCCATCTCAAAAAAAAAATGCATTTTTGGGTAATATTTTGAGTAGCTTTACCTCCATATGTACAATAAATAATATTGTGATTTTTAATCTTTACTCTTCTGTGGAGAAAACACAGGTGTGATTTCTAGTGTAGCTGAATATCGTTTATTTGACAATATTGCAGTTGTGTGTGGGTGTGTGCCTGTGTAGCTACTCTTTAATTTTGTTCTCACATAATGATTAGATATTAACAATTAATTCAGTAAAATGTATGTTTTGCAATATTTCTCCATGTTATTATGCTTTAAATTAGTTTAATCATGCCCCTATAATGTGTGCATATTAACCTTTGACTATAGTTCTCAATCTTACTTTGGATCCTGTATTTCAATTTATGCTAATAAAGTCCTACAGCTAAAAAAGATTATATAAACTTATCTACATTTTTATTAGTATTCTGGTGTCATTTTAAATTATGTAATGAAATCAAATTTTAATTTGGATTATTGTTATCTGAGTTAAGGATGTAAATTTTTAATTTTCTTATAAATATTACATAATTATTTCTGAACCATATATTGACTAATTTGCCCTTTATATGATGTGCATTATAAGAGCTTGGGATTTTTTTCATTTGCAAAGATGAATGCTTGAGAAGTAGATATTTAATCATAACATTTCAAAATCAACTGGATAACCAAGAATTGAAAAATAGCCTATAGGTTGAAAAACTCCTGTAGTGAAGAAAGAAAATAACAAATATACTGTGACAATATAAATATTATAAGTATTTATTTTATTATCGCCCTGAAATTTGATAACACAAACATGTAATATCCACATATCATCCATACATCAGGTCATAAAAAATCAATACATTCTTCAAAAATTTAGCATAACAGAAAATGCACTCTCTCTCCTTGATGGAATTAAGTTACAAATAAAAGTAAAAATAAGTAGATAAGTAGACGGAAGTAGATGTTTAAAAACAAAGAAAAATATTTGTTTTGGATAACATAAAATCTCAATTGACAATTCCAATATTTCCAGAACTTTGCCTGTCAACTGGTGGAGAGTTGTCCCCAGGAGACATTTGTCAATGTCTAGGGTTATTGTGGGGATGTCAAGACTGGTGGAGGTGGGAAATTTAGAGGTCAAACGAAACACCTAGCATTGGTAGGGCAGCCTCCCACAACAAAGAATCCTTTGGTCCTAAAGGTAAGTAGCAACAAGGTTGAGAAACCATAATCTAGACAGGAAACACTACGTAGCTATTCCAAGTGCTCAGGAAAACACATCAGTGCCCTCGAGGGGAAAAGTGTAAACATTTTAATTGCTGTACATGGTGACACAAATCCATGTTGTTAATCTAAGTGGAAGGGGCTGAAGCACAAAACGAAATTCAAAGAGTTTACTTGAGCCACAATGAGGACAGCTGCCTGGAAGAAACAGACCCAAGTATCCTTGGATATGAACTCCCTTTGGAGCTTTGCAAGAAGCAGTTTCTTAAAGGCAAAAAAGGGTCCAGAAGTGGGATGATGCAAAGAGGTTTGTCACAAATTCTCATTGGCTTATGGAAATAACATTTATTAGTGACTGGCTATACACTGTTACACTATTATTGGGTGTGGATTATAGTGTCTGGTGTGGCGTTATTGGTTAATTTATAGCTACTGTGGCAACAGCAAGCAGCCTAGACGAACACACAGCTCAAAGACGAGCAGGACAGAACTGCTGTCTCATTTGAATATCTCTCTGGACGTGATTATTTAAAAGGACTTGCATTTCTCACATGAAAGTTATTTTCTTTTCTCAATGTCCATAAATGAGAATAAATAGACGTAAAATAGATCTTTTCGAGGATGAAGTAAACGGAATGAAAAACAAAACTCAAGCTGACCAGAAATCATAGAGGGAAGAAAACGTTATAAATATATGGATTTTTCAAAGTGATTTTAAGCTATTAGGAATCAATTAAATGTTGGGGGATTTTGTCTGAGAATGGGCTAAAGGAGAATGTCCCTTTTGCCTTCTGAAGTTTCCCTGAAAATCACTAATAGGAGGCAGAGAAATAGTGAAAAGGTAAACAGATTTCTGCAATGTGTGTACACTGGAGCCCTTAGAACGAAGACCCAGACACACGATGCGTGCAGAAGATTATCTACCACATGAAGTTTACAGAAAGAATGGGGTCTTGGATCACAGGGAAAAGAAAGAAAAAGTTTATGTGAGAAAACGACCCAGGCTAGCAACAGTGGACTTATTACATAGGTGGAAACTCACTGGGAGCAGTCCTCAGAGAGAATAGACAGAAAATGCTTCTTTCAGACCTTTGGAGACCTCAGACTCTCAGTTAACTTTTCCTAGATCCAGACAAGGGGGCAGACCTCAGAGAAAGCCTGGCTGCATCAAGGCAGATCCTCTACCGATGCAAATCTCCCCAAGACAGCTTTGCAGCTAAGTTTGAATTTCCAGCCCTTCTCAATAGCCATTTTGATATATATCAAGGAAATATATTTAGTGGTAAAATATATTAGTTTCCCTCATACAGCTATAAAACATACAGGAATAATTTTTGTTAATGTCTACTACAAATCCAATATAGCAGTAATTATAAAACCCACCAGATATTGAAGAAAAAATATGTAGAGGATCTCAATTACAAATGTTGATATTAAAATGCTAAATAAAATAAAAATAACATCCAACAATATTTGAAACAGTAAGACAAGAAATTGGCAAAAAAAAAATAAAAAAAATATCAACATTGGGGATGAAACTGTGTTTCCAAATTTGGGTATCCAATAATATTAATAATCTTATTGATTAGCCCAAATTAAAAATAAATAGGGGATTCTCAGTACATGCTAAAGTATATTTGTTAAAAGGCAATATTCATGTCTTTAAAGATTTTAAATGCTATAAAGGGTCTGATATTCTATATGCAAACATGTGTATGTCCATTAGAAGAAGAGAGGCCTGATTGTCATATGTCACTACATAGAGATAGAGAAGTGGATAGATTAATTTGCATATGCATAGGGAAAGCATAAAATAGAAATTTACTATCATATTTAAGGAATTTTAATTCAACAATAAAATAATTCAAAGGTAAAATTTTAAGTATTTTTAGCAGGTACATTATAAATATTAGATAATATTTATAATAATTGTGAAAATATTCAGTGCTAAAAGAGGATACAATATCTAAACATCACTATTAAAACTAGTATAAATATTCGCTTGTTTATACAAGGAAAATTGAAGCTCGATCTAAAATTATATGGGAGAAAAAAGAAAAATTTTAAGGGAGCTCTTTAATAACATAATCATATGTATATATACACACACATATAACATGTATATATGTTATGTGTGATAGATATAGATTTAATATGTTATATCTATATTTGTATCTATAACTACAGCTGTATGTATCTATATTTCTATATATTTAGTCAGTGATATAAATATAGAGTGGAATAAATATAAAGACACATATGATTCTTGGATAAAAAAGATTTAGTATCTTAAAGACAAATTCTTTCCAAATTCACTTATGAATTCACAACCATATACAGTTTCATTAGTATAATTTAAAATTTTTAAATAAATTACAAGATTCATTTAAAGGAATATACATGTATACAAGCAGTCAAGAAGAAACAAGAGTGCACTAAACTAACTTGCTATTAAAATACATTTTTAAACTTAGTCACTAAAACTGAGCAGTACTGATTTGGAGTACTGGAATTTAGGTATATGGGATCTCAAAAGCACAGAGCTCAAAGGAGACCCCTGTATGCACGCGAGCTTTGGATGTGCTTTGGAAGGCATTACCAAACCACCGGCAAAGTTGCTTTAGTGTCTTAGTCTTACTAGGTTTGAAAAGCCACAGAAAAGACTCAAGAACACCATATAAGAGCAAAACAAGAGGACAGGGAGAGAATGTGAAGATACTGAAACATTTTACATAAAGTTGTATAAAACATCCTTTAAAGAAAATATGAAGTTTAGGTTATACATCAAAGTCAGCAGAGCCACTAAATAAATAAATAGGCATTGTAAAATAGCAAGAGAAAATTTAAATGGATTTCTAAAAAATATTGACACCTATGATTTTTAAAATATGTTTAAGAAATCCCGTATTTCACAGGGCAGCCTTTCACAACACAGATATGTTAGGACATAAAGGTCCTTCTGTTTTTAATTTACTAGTGTTTATAGGGTTACAAATGTCTTCTACCCTTGTCTTTTGTCTGATGGTGCAAAAAATTTTCATAAGCATGTATTTCTGAATGCGTGATGGATCGACATATATAATATGCTGCTAGTATTAAAATATGAGACAGAAAACGCATCCAATCTTCTCACTGTTTACATAAATTCTAGGTTTCTCCTATTTACCTCAAGCACGTATGGAGCGAATTCTTACCTTTTAATATTGCCATGGCATTCACATTGAACATAAGTTGAACTCTCTCATATGGTAGCTGGGTTCGGATTCCCTTGACAATTTCCAGTTCTAACTCTCACAGTTCCTCAGTGTGGCTGGCCCAGATATTGACCCTACACAGTTGCCTCCTCCTGGTGACTACCAGCTATGGAACCGTTGGATACAATCTACCTGACTCACCCCACAGACCTCACAGTGCACATGGACAGGCCCCACACGCCACAGTGACCTGCTCGGTTGCAGCGGGAGTCAAGAAATGTGCCTGCTGGCACTCACCCCGCCGACTAGTGCCCCGTGGAAAACTTGTTTGGATAATGTTCTGGGCCCAATAAAGGCTGCAGTCCCACAGACCGCTTTTCTCTCTCCTGCTCCCCACTCATCTTCCCCATTTTGTTCAGCCCTATGAGGTGTGCTACTGTATTAGTCCATTTTCACACCTCCAGTAAAGACATGCCCAAGACTGGGTAATTTCCAGAAGAAAGAGGTTTAATAGATGCACAGTTCCACATGGCTGGGTAGGCCTCACAATCATGGCACAAGATGAAAGGCACGTCTCACATGGCAGCAGACAAGACAAGAGAGCTTGTGCAGGAAACTCCTCTTTATAAATCCATCAGATCTTGTGAGACTTATTCACTATCAGAAGAACAGCATGGGAAAGACCTGCCCTCATGATTCAATTACCTCCCACCTGTTCCCTCCCACAACATGTGGGAATTCAAGATGAGATTTGGCTGGGGACACAGCTAAACCCTCTTCACAGCTACCCTCTTCTCTCTGGATCTGTGAGTAATAAACCTACTTCTGTGATTTCCCATGTTTGGTTCTGTGGCCTCCATGTGTCTGAGTTGACCTACACTGGAACCTAACTCTCCTCTGGCCAGGGTCTCTGAGAGTGGCTCTTGTCAGAAATACACAGGACACAGGTGAGGCAACAGTCACCAGGCATCTCCTAGTCTCAACAGATGTTCTGTGAGAGGGAGGCCTGGTCGTGGGATGCACACCTGGCCACTGCTGGGGTAAGGAAGTGTCCTGTGAAAGGCACATGTTAAGCATCCACAACCCCCTGACCAGAACCCCAGAAAGGCAGGGCTCCAACTGACAATCACTCTCCAGAGACAAACCTCAAGCCCTAACTGGAGGAAAAGAAAATAATGTAAAAAGTTGAATTTATCTTACCATTTCAATGATCCAGTAAAGACATTCTATGCCTGTACACCACATATTTTCTTTGATTGTGGATTTATTTTAGATAGAATTTTAGGTCTGGCTTTCACTTTAGCCTGGTCCCTACCTCAAGCATAAGGTAAAGATTTTCCATGCGTTCTTTTCTGGTACTACTACCTGCCAGTGTGGGGTCATGTCCTAGTCTATCTTGAGGGAATCCCCCTGTTCATTATTGTCAGAGTGAGACTGTTAAGTCTTGATTTCCCTGGACAACTTCACTGCATGACTTTTAATATGATTTTTTAATATACCCTTTACTGGACAATAAATTCTATAGTTATCTGAGAAAGAGATATGGTCAGGAAGAGGCATTGCCTCATTCAGCTTTTCTCTTTGGTGAACTCGCATATGTTCTCCTCACCCGCCAGTCACCTCTAAACCGTATTGTTCCAAGACAACAAACAGAACTCGAGTGTGTATCTTTCACCACTGGATTTGTGTTTGCTCCATAAAACTTAATGCTTAACAGGGTTTCTGTTAGCATTTTCTCTATTTATTTTCCCATAAAATATCACAGGCCTTCTTCATATGGAGTTATGGGTGATTTCGTTCAATCTGCATCATATCAAGTTGAGGTTCATGTTGATGAAAAGTAAAACATACGTTGAAAATATCAGTAAGGATGTTTTCCCCTCCTTTTTAGCACCTGTGCTTGTGATACAAGCACATTTTAATACAATTGTAGTCTCATGCTTTGATCATTCCTATGATGAAAATAACATTTTTAGCTAAAATATCTGAGTTTTATGAGGCCTTTAGTATGTGATGTGATAGAATATCAGAAGAACATACTTTTTTCTAGTTTTCCGTGCAATTCTATCATTGTTTCATCTTTCTCCTACCAGAGTAATTTTCCAAAATAGATATCTTGTCATTCTTCCTGTTGTTATCAGTAAATAAGTGAAATGAAAAGCTAGATTATATAATTTATCTAGAACAAGAAAGTAGAATTGAATCTATATTCATTAATGAGACTAACCAGTCAATTACACAGACAGGCATTTTACATTTTGAAGATCATAGGGACCCATGGTCAGAAATATTATTATTTATGTCTATATGGACATCACCTGTGCATATTTACATAGAAATCAATGAGAGCTGATTTTTATTTTTATTATATATATTTTTTGAGATAGGTTCTTGCTTTGTTGCCCAGGCTGGAGTGCAGTGGTGCAATCTCTGCTCACTGCAGCCTCAGCCTCCCAAGCTCAAGCAATCCTTCCACCTTGGCCTCCCAAATAACTAGGACAACAGGTGCACATAACCATGCCCACTTTTTTTTAACTTTTGATAGAGACTGGTTCTTGCTATGTTGCCCAGGTCGCTTGTGAACTCCTGTGCTCAAGGAATCCTCTCATTTCAGCCTCTTCAACTGCTGGTATTACAAGCATGAACCACCATATGGGCTGGAAGCTTATTTTTAAAATACTGAGATCATGTACATTACAGCAACTGAAAAATAGACAACACCAAGCTTTATGTTAAAAGGTGTGAGGGTATCCATATTGTTGTGGCTATTGGGGAGGAAAACATTAGTAAAACCAGTAATTTAAAGCTCTTGCTTTAAACTTTGGCTTTAATTTAGCAAATGTTCTATGGAGTGACAGCATGTATGTAACCATGCTATGCCCATTCACAGATGCATTAGAGGGAAGAATTTCTCAAACACAACTGTTCCAAGATTCAAATTAAACTGCACTGGGTTTGAAAAGAGAAAGTCCAGGAATTACCAAATATTTTAGATATCAGGTACAAGAGAATGCCAGATATGCGATGATAATCAGCAATGGTTGTTCACACAATACATCGAATCAGTATTTGAATTAGCTTTTGAATTACAAGGACAAATGGATCAAGTCTAGACTCTTTAGTAGATAAATCTTATTAGGCTGAGATGTGTTTTCCCCTGTTTTTCCACAAGGAGATTACAAATTTGCAAACCTCAGCTGCTCTCATTTTATGCTCTCACCAAGCCAAAAGCTGAAGTTCATCAATCAGTGTGTCTAAGTGTTCACTGGTTATATACCATTTTGTAGTGTCAGCTATCTTTCCAACTTCCTAAGTCATCACCTTCATTTGATCTTGTTTTTTTCCACTATCACTTCTTTATTGACCTTATAAAGAATATAAGTAAGTTCTTATTTTGTTATTGTTCATTTTAGCCTAATTTCATCAAAAGATCACAATCTTTTAATTTCATTTTAATTTCAAAGATTAAATGAAACCTACATAGAAATGAGTGTAACATTTGCATTTGCATTATTTTGGCATCAATTTGCTATCCTCCCTCATGCACATAGAGATCATTTTCATGTACGTGATTTCAAACATCCAAGTGCAGTATTAAAAGGAGTTATAAATTATGGTTCTCATTTTCATGATACAATTACAATATAAACTTCCTCTTGCTGCTATAACCAATTACCACAAACTTCATATCTTACAACAAAGTGACCGTTAATCCTACAGTTCTGTAGTTCAGAAGCCTTAAATGAAACTCACAGGGCTAACATCAAGTTTTGGGCAGGGCTGCAGTCTGTCTGACGGCTATGTGGCAGAATCTATTACTTGATTTTTTTCAGCATCCAGAGGCCACCTTTACTCCTTGGAATATGACCTCATTCTTATATTCTATATTTCTTTTTTTTTTTTTGAGATGGAGTCTCCTACTGTCACCCAGGATGGAGTGCAGTGGCATGATCTCAGCTCATTGCAACCTCTGCCTCCCGGGTTCAAGGGATTCTTCTGACTCAGCTTCCTGTGTAGCTTGGACTACAGGCACTTGCCACTAAGCCGAGTTAATTTTTTGTGTTTTTAGTAGGGATGGGGATTCACCATGTTATCCAGGATGGTCTTGATCTCCTGACCTCGTGATAAACCCACCCCAGCCTCCTAAAGTGCTGGGATTAGGCGTGAGCCACCACACTGGGTCTTCATTCTTGTATCTTAAGAGTCAGTGATGTTGAGTAATTTCTCATGCCACCACCTCCAATGTTGCCTTTCTTCTGCCTTCTTCTTTCACTTATAAGGAAGTTTGTGATTTCATTGATCCCACCCATTTAAGACAATCTCTCTATCATTTTTCCACAACCAGAATTTCACTTGAAGTCTAATTTCACATTGCCATGCAACCTAACATATTTGTATGTTAGACTCTGGGAATTAGGACACGAAAATTTTTGGGAAGACATTCTTTGGCCTACAGCAGACATAATCTATTTACCTGCAGATTAAAGCGTTCTTTATTTTCCTGTCTCCCTGTCTTAAATTTTTAAAATAATATTAATTGTAGTAAAGAGAAAGAAAGAAAAGAAAACAAAGAAATAAAAAGAAGGAAGGAAGGAAATAAGGAAAGAAAGAAGAAAGAAAAGAAGGAGGAAATGAGGGAAGGAAGGGAGGGAGGGAGGAAGGGAGAAAGGCAGGAAGGGAGCAAAAAGAAAGCATGAACACAAGAAAGAAAGAAGGAAGGAAAGAAACAAAGAAAGAGAAAGAAATATTAGCAAGTTCCTTGAGGCCTATGCTGAAAAAGAAAATATCTTCAGATAAAAACTAGACAGAAGATTTTTGATAAACTACTTTGTGATGTGTGCATTCATCTCACAGTGTTAAACCTTTCTTTTCATGCAGCAGTTTGGAATCATTGTGTTTGTCCATACTCTGAATGGATATTTGGGAGCTCATTGAGGCCAATGGTGAAAAAGGAAATATGCCCAGATGAAAACTACAAGGAAGCTCTCTGAGAAACCACTTTGTGATGTATGCATTCATCTCACAGAGTTAAACTTTTTTTTCATTCAGCTGTTTGGAAACGCTGTTTTTGTAGAATCTGCAAGCGATATTTGGGAGCACATTGAGGCCGATGGTGAAAAATAAAATATCTTCAGATAAAAACTAGAAAGAAGTTTTCTGAGAAACTGCTTTGTGAAGGGTGCATTCATCTCACAAAGATAAACCTTTCTTTTGATTCCTTGGTTTGGAAACACTGTCCATTCTCTGAATGGACATTTGGAGCTTGTTGAGGCCAATGGTGAAAAAGGGAATATCCTAGGATAAAAACTAGATGGGTGCACTCTGACAAACCTCTTAATGATTTGTGTATTCATTTCACAGAGATAAAGTTTCCTTTTATATAGCAGTTTGGAAACTGTTTTTGTCCATTCTGCAAATGAACATTTGAGAGCTCATTGAGGCCAACGGGGAAAAATCAAAAATCCCAGATAAAAATGAGAAGGAATCTATCTGAGAAGCTGCTTTGTGATGTGTGCATTCATCCCACATATTGAAACCTTTCTTTTCTTTCCGCAGTTTGGAAACACTGTTTTTGTCCATTCTGTGAATGGACATTTGGGAGCTCATTGAGGCCAAAGGTGAAAAAGTGAATATCCCAGGATGAAAACTGGAAAGAAGCTATATGAGAAATGGCTTTGTGATATGTGCATTCATCCCACAGACTGAAACCTTTATTTTCATTCAGCAGTTTGGAATCACTGTTTTTGTAGTCTCTGTGAAGGGATAGGTGGGAGCACATTGAGACCTCTGGTGAAAAAGAAAGTATCATCAGATAAAAACTAAAAGGAAACTTCTAGTTTGGCCCCAATGCACTCCCAAGTACACCTTTGCAGATTTTACCAAAACAGTTTTTCCAAACTGCTGAATGAAAAGTTTAACTCTTTGAGGTGAATGTACACATCACAAGGCAGTTTATCAGATAGATTCCTTCTATTTTTTATCATGGGAGATTCGCTTTTTCACCTTGGGGCTCAAAGAGATCTGAAATGTCCATTCTCTGAATAGATAAAAACGGTGTTTCCAAACTGCTGAATCAAAAGAAAGGTTTAACTTTGTGAGATGAATGCTGACATCACAAAGCTGGTTCTCAGAAAACTTTCTTCTAGTTTTTATCCTGGGATATTCACTTTTTCGCCATTGGCTGCAAAGAGTTCCTAAATGTCTGTTCTCCAAATAGATAAAAATAGTGTTTCCAAATTGCTGAATCAAAAGAAAGGTTTAACTCTGTGTGTTGAAAGCACACATAACAAAGAAGCTTCTCAGAAAGCTTTTTTCTACTTTTTATCTGAAGATATTTTATTTTTCACCATATGCCTTAATATGCTCCAAAATATCCCCTTGCAGATTCCACAAAAACAGTGTTTCCATATTGCCAAAATAAAATAAGGTTTAATTATGTGTGATTTATGCACATAACCAAAGCAGTTTCTCATATAATTTCCTTCCAGTTTTATCAGGGAACATTTGCTACTTAACCTTTGGCCTCCATGAGCTCCCAAATGTCCATTCACAGAATGGACAAAAACAGTGTTTCCAACTGCTGAATGAAAAGAAAGGTTTAACTCTGTGAGATGAATGCCCACATCCATCACAAAGCAGTTTCTCAGATATTCTTCTTCTATATTTACCCTGGGATATTCACTTTCCCCATTGTTTTCAATGAGTTCCCAAATTTCCATTCATAGAATGGACAAAAACAGTGTTTCCAAATTGCTAAATCAAAACAAATGTTCAACTCTGTGAGATGAATGCACATATCAAAAAGCAGTTTCTCAGAAAGCTTCTGTCTTGTTCTTATCTTAAGATATTTCCTTTTCCACCATAGGCCTCAATGCACTTCAAAATATACTCTCACACATTCTACAAAACACTGTTTCCAAACTTCTGAATGAAAAGAATGGATTAACTCTGTCAGATGAATGCACACATCTCAAAGCAGTTTCACAATGCTTCTTTTTAGTTTTCATCTGAAGTTATTTTCTTTTTCAAAATAGGCCTCAGCAGGATCCCAAATATCCCTTTGCAGGTTCTACAAAAACAGTATTTCCTAACTTCTGAATGAAATAAAGGTTTAAATCTGCGAGATGAATGCACACATCAAAAAGTGGTTTCACCATTAGGTTCCTTGTAGTTTTTATCCTGGGATATTCCCATTTTCACCATTTGACTCAATGAGCTCCATCCATTCACAGAATGGAAATAAACAGTGTTTCCAAACTATTGAATCAAAAGAAAATATTAACTTCATGAGATAAATGTACACATTACAAAGCAGTTTCTCAGAAAGCTTCTTTCTAGATTTTATCTGAAGATATTTTCTTTTTCACCATAGACTTCAATGCACATCCAAATATTCCTTTGCAGTTTCTACAAAAACAGTGTTACCAAACAGCAGAATCAAAACAAAGGTTTAACTCTGTGAGGTGAATGCACGCATCACAAAGCAGTTTCTCAGATAGCTTCCTTCTAGTGAATAGCCACGGATATTCACTTTTTCACTATTGGCCTCAATGAGTCCTAAAACGTCCATTCACAGAATGTAAAAAAAAAACAGTGTTTCCAAAATGCTGAATCAAAAGAAATGTTTAACACTGTGAGATAAATGCACACATAAAAATGCAGTTTCTCAGAAAGCTTCTTTCTAGTTTTTATCTGAAGGTGTTTCCTTTTTCAGCACAGGCCTCAATGCACTGCAAAATATCCCTTTGCAGATTCTGAAAAACAGTGTTTCCAAACTCCTCAATAAGGTTTAATTCTGTGTGATGTATGCACATAACTGAAGCAGTTTCTCATATAGATTCCTTCCAGTTTTATCAGGGAACATTTGCTACTTAACCTTTGGCCTCCATGAGCTCCCAAATGTCCATTCACAGAATGGACAAAAACAGTGTTTCCAACTGCTGAATGAAAAGAAAGGTTTAACTCTGTGAGATGAATGCCCACATCCATCACAAAGCAGTTTCTCAGATAGCTTCCTTCTAATTATCATCCGGGGTTATTCCTTTTTCACCACTGTCCTCAACGAGCTCCCAAATGTACATTAGCAGAATGGACAAAAACAGTGTTTCCAGACTGCTTAATCCAAAGAGAGGTTTAACTGTCTGTAATCAATGCACACATCACAGAGCAGTTTGTAGGATTGCTTCCTTCTAGTTTTTATTCTGGGATATTTCCTTTTTCATCTTTGGCCTCAGTGAGACCACAAATGTTTATTTTCAGAATGGACAAAAAGTGTTTCCAAACTGGTGAATCAAAAGAAAGGTTGAGCTCTGTGAGATGAATGAACACATCATAAAGCAGTTTCTCATAAAACTACTTTCTAATAATTATCTGAAGATATTTTCTTTTTTACCATAGACCTCATTGTGCTCCTAAATATCTCTTCACAGTTTCTACAAAAACAGTGTTTTCAAACTACTTAATGAAAGACAGTTTTATCTCTGGGATATGAATGCACGCAGCCCGAAGCTGTTTCTCACATGGCTTCCTTCTAGTTTTTATGCTGTTATATCCACTTTTTCATCATTGCCCTCAATGAGCTCCAAAATCTGCTTTTGCAGAATTGGCAAAAACAGTGTTTCAATACTACTAAATCAAAAGAAATGTTTAACTCTGTGAGACGAATTCATACATCATTCATACGTCACAAAGTAGTTGCTTAGAAAGTTTCTTTCCAGTTTTTATGTAAACATACTCTTTTCAATATAGGCCTCAGTTTCCAAACTGCTGAATCAAAAGAAAGGTTTAACTCTGTGAGATAAATGCACACATCAAAAAGCAGTTTCTCAGAAAGCTTCTTTCTGAAGATATTTCCTTTGTCACCACAGGCCTCAATGCACTGCAAATTATCACTTCACAGATTCTACAAAAACAATGTTTTCAAACTTCTAAATGAAAAGAAAGGTTTAACTATGTGAGATGAATACACACATCACAAAGTGGGTTCTCAGATAGCTTCTTTGTTGTTTCTGTTTTGGGTTATTCACTTTTTTGAATTTGGCATCAATGAGCAACCAAATGTCCATTCACAGAATGAATGAAAACAGTGTTTCCAAACTGCTAAATCAAAAGAATGTTTTAACACTGCCAGGTGAATGCATACATCACAAAGCAGTTTCCAGATAGGTTCATTCTACTTTTTATCCTGGGACATTCAGTTTTTTGCAATAGACTCAATGGGCATGCAAATTTCCATTCTCAGAATGGACATAAACTCTTTTTCCAAAAGGCTGACTCAAAAGTAAGTTTTAAGTCTGTGACATGAATGCACCTATCACAAAGTTATTTCTCAGTTACCTTCCTGCTAATTTTTATCTAGGAATAT
Organism: Homo sapiens; assembly: GCF_000001405.40. Lineage (NCBI taxonomy): Eukaryota > Metazoa > Chordata > Mammalia > Primates > Hominidae > Homo > Homo sapiens. Next base: position 62,247,246 of record NC_000007.14, on the reverse strand, counting down.
TTACTTTTTCAACATTGGCCTCAAAGAGCTCCCAAATATCCATTCACAGTATGTACAAAAAATGTGTTTTGAAATTGCTGAATCCAAAGAAGGTTTTACCTCTGTGAGATGAATGCACACATTGCAAAGCAGTTTCTCAAAATGTTTCTTTCTAGTTTTTATCTGAAGATATTTTCTTTTTCACCGCATGCCCCAATGCACTCCCAAATATCACTTCTCAGATTCTACAAAAACAGTGTTTCCAAAGTGCTGAATGAAACGACAGTTTTACACATCACAAAGTAGTTTCTCAGATAGCTTCCTTCTAGTTTTTGTTCTGTGATATTCCCTTTTTCACCATAGGCCTTAATGAGCTCACAAAAATCCCATCACAGATTCTAGAAAAACATTATTTCCAAACAGCTGAATGAAAAAAAAAAAATCTTAACTCTGCTAAATGGATGCACATGTGACAAAGCGGTTTCTCAGATAGCTTTCTTCTTGTTTTTGTCCTGGGATATTCACTTTTTTGCCATCGGCCTCATTGAGCTCTGAAATGTCCAATAGCAGGATGGAGAAAAAGAGTGTTTCCAAACTGCTGAATGAAAAGAAAATTTTAACTCTCTGAGATGAATGCAAACATCAAAAGGAGTTTCTCAGAAAGTGTCTTTCCAGTTTTTATCTGAAGATATTTTGTTTTCACCACAGGCCTCAATGCGCTCCCACATACCCTTTCAAAGATACTAAAAAAACAGTATTTCCAAACTGCTGAATCAAAAGAAACCTTTAACAATGAGAGATGAATGCACACATCACAGGGCAGTCTCTCAGTTAACTTCATTGTAGTTTTTATCATGGGATATTCGCTGTTTCGCCTTTGTCCTCACTGAGCTGCCAAATATCCATTTGCAGAATGGACAAAAACAGTGTTTCCAAACTGATGAATTAAAAGAAAAGTTCAACACTGTGAAACGAATGCACACATTACAAAGCAGTTTCTCAGACAGCTTCTTTCTCGTTTTTATCTGAATTTACTTTCTTTTCCACCGTAGGCCTCAACATGCTCCTAAATTTGCCTTCACAGATTCTGCAAAAACAGTGTTTCCAAACTAATGAAGGAAAAGCAAATTTTAATTCTGTGAGATGAATGCATATATCACAAAGTGGTTTCTCATATAGCTTCCTTTTGTTTTTATCCTGGGATATTCACTTTCTCATGATTGACCTCAATGACTTTTCAAAAGTCTATTCACAGAACGGACAGAAACAGTGTTTCCAAACTCCTGAATCAAAAGAAAGTTTTCACTCCATGAGATCAATGCACACATCAGAAAGCAGTTTCACAAAAAGCTTCTTTCTGGCTTTTACCTGAAGATATTTTCTTTTTCACAATAGGACAAAATGTACTCCCAAATATCCCTTTGCAGATTCTAGATAAATAGAGTTTTCAGACTGCTGAATGAGAGGATGGTTTATCTCTGTGAGATGAAAGCACACATCACAAAGCCGTTTGTCAGATAGTTTCTTTCTTGTTTTTATCCTGGGATACTCGCCTTTTTGCCATTGGCCTCAATCAGCTCCCCAGTGTCCCTTCACGGAATGGACTGAAAGAGTGTTTCCAAACTAGTGAATCAAGGAAAACTTTAAGTCTGTGAGATTAATGCACACAACACAAAGCAGAATGCTTCTTTCTAGTTTTTATCTGAAGATATTTTCTTTTTCACCATAGACCTCAATGCCCTCCCAAATATCCCTTCGCAGATTCTAAAAACACAGTGTTTCCAAGCAGCTGAATGAAAAGGGATTAATGCACACATCACAAAGCAGTTTCTCAGAGAGCTTCCTTCTAGTTTTAATCCTGGAATATTTGCTTTTTCTCAATTGGCCTTAATGAGGTCCCAAATGTCCATTTGCAGAATAGACAAAAACAGTGTTTGCAAACTGCTGAATCAAAAGAAAGGCTTAACTCTATGAGATAAATGTCAACCTAAAAAACCAGTTTCTCAGAAAGCTTTTCTCTAGTTTTTGTCTGAGGATATTTTTTTTCAACAGAGCCTTCGATGCAGTACAACATATCCCTTTGTAGATTCTACAAAAATAGTGTTTCCAAACTGCTGAATGTATAGGAAAGTTAATTCTGTGAGATGAATGCACGCATCACAAAGTGGTTTCTTCTATAGCTTCCTTCTAGTTTTTATCCTGGAAAATTCACCTTTTTGCCATTGGCCTCCATAAGCTCCCAAATGTCCATTCACAGAATGGACAAAACAATGTTTTCTAATTGCTGAATGAAAAAACAATTTTATCTTTGTGCAATGAATGCACACACCAGAAAGCGGTTTCCAGATAGCTTCATTCTAGATTTTATCCTGGGTTATTTACTTTTTCAACACTGACCTCAATGAGCTCCAAAATGTCCGTTTGCAGAATGGACAGAAACAGTGTTTCCAAAGTGCTGAATCAAAAGAAAAGTTTAACTCTGTGAGATGAATGCACACATCACAAAGCAGTTTCTTATAGAGCTTCTTTCTAGTTTTTACCTGAATATACCTTCTTTTTCACAATTAGCTTCAATGTGCTCCCAAATATAACCTCAAAGGTTCTCCAAATGCAATGTTTCCACACTGCTGAATGATAAAATGGTTAACTCTGTGAGATGAAAGCACACATCACAAAGCTGTTTCACCAAAACCTTCTTTCTAATTTTTACCTGAAGATATTTTCTTTTCCACTGTAGGCCTGAATGTGCTCCCTAAGATCCCTTTGCAGATTCTCCAAAAACCGTGCTTCCAAACTGCTGAATGAAATAAAGGATTAATTTTGCCAGATGAATGCGTACATCACAAAGGGTTTTCTCAGATATTTTCCTACTAGTTTTTATCCTGTGATATTCATTTGTTCTCCCTTGGCCTCAATGACATACCAGGTGTCCATTCGCAGAATTGACAATCACAGTGTTTCCAAACAGCTGAATCAAAAAGAAAGATTTATCAATGCTAGATGACTGCACATATCACCAAGCAGTTTCTCACACTACTTTATTGTAGTTTTAATCTTGGGATATTTGCTGTTTCAACATTGGCCTCAATAAGCTTCCAAATGTCCATTCACAGAATGGACAAAAACAGTGTTTCAAAACTGCTGAATCAAATAAATATTTAACTCTGTAGAATGAATGCACACATCAGAAAGCAGTTTATCTGAAAACTTCTAGTTTTTATCTGAATTTACTTTCTTTTTCACCATAGACTTCAAGACACTCCAAAATATCCCTTCACAGATTCTACAGAAGCAGTGTTTCCATATTGTTGAATGAAAAAAAGATTTAATTCTGGTAGATGAATGCACACTTTGTAAAGCAGTTTCTCAGATAGGTTCTTCCAGTTTTTTTCCTGGGATATTCCTTCTTTTGCCATTGGCCTCACTGAGATCCCTAATGTTAATATGCAGAATTGACAAAAAGAGTACTTTCAAACCACCATAAAAAGAAAGGTTTAACTCTATGAGATGAATGCAAACTTCAAATGTCAGTTTCTCAGAAAGCTTCCTTCCGGTTTTTATCTGAAGATATTTTCTTTTTCAATGTAGGCCTCAATGCACTCCCAAATATCCCTTTGAAGATTCTACAAAAACAGTGCTTCCAAACTGCTGAATGAAAAGGCAAGTTTAATTCTGCAGGATGAGTGCACACATCACAAAGCAGTGTTTCAGATAGCTTCCTACTAGCTTTTATAATGGGATATTCACTTTTCTGCAATTGGCCTCAATGAGTTTCCAAGTGTCCATTTGCAGAATGGACAAAAACAGAGCCTCCAAACTGCTCAATCAAAAGAAAAGTTTAACTCTGCAAGATGAATGCAGACATCACAAAGCCGTTTTTCAGATAGATTCCTTCCAGTTTTTATCCTTGGATATTAGCTTTTTCACCATTGGCCTCAATGAGCTTTCATATATCCTTGAGCAGAATGGACGGAAACAGTGTTTCCAAACTACTGAACCAAAGAAAGATGTAGATCTGTGAGATGAATGCACACATAACAAAGCAGTTTCCAGATAGCTTCTTTCTAGATTTTATCTTGTGATATTTGCTTTTTCATCATTGACATCAGTGAGCTCCAAAATGTCCATTCACAAAATGGACAATAACAGTTTTTCCAAACTGCTGAATCAAAAGAAAAGTTTAACTCTGTGAGATGAATGCACACATCACAAAGCAGTTTCTTAGAGAGCTTCTTTCTAATTTTCATCTGAATATACTTTGTTTTTCACTATAGGTCTCAATGTGTTCCCAAATATCCCTTTGAAGGTTCTACAAAAACAGTGTTTCCAAATTGCTGAATGATAGAATTTTTTTAACTCTGTGAGATGAATTTGCACATCACTAAGCTGTTTCACTGAAATCTTCTTTCTAGTTTTTATCTGAATATATTTTCTTTTTCACTGAAGGCCTGAATGTGCTCCCTAAGATCCCTTCACAGATTCTACAAAAACCGTGCTTCCAAACTACTGAATAAATATAAAGGTTTAATTCTGCCAAATGAATGCGTACATCACTAAGTTATTTCTCAGTTATCTTCCTACTGGTTTTTATCCTGGGATATTAACTTTTTCACCATTGGCCTCAATGAGCTCCCAAGTGTTCATTCACAGAATGGACAAAAACAAAGTTTACAAACTGCTCAATCAAAAAAAGTTTAACTCTGCAAGATGAATGTTCACATCACAAAGCGGGCTCTCAGATAGATTCCTTCCAGTTTTTAACCTCGGATTTTCACTTTTTTGCCATGGGCCTCAAAGAGCTCCCAAATGTCCATTTGCAGAATGGACAAAAAGTGTTTCTGAACTGCTGTATCAAAAGAAAGGTTTAACTATGCGAGATGAATGCACACATCACATTATGGTTTCTAAGGCAGCTTCCTTCTTGTTTTTATTCTGAGATATTCACTTTTTCGCCATTGGCCTCAATGAGCTCCCAAATGTCCATTTGCAGAATGGACAAAAACAGTGTTTCCAAAGAGCTGTATGAGAAAAAGTTTTAACTTTGTGAGATAAATCCACATGTCACAAAGCAGTTTCTCAGAAAGTTTCTTTCTAAGTTTATTTGAAGATATATTCTTTTTCACCATATACCTCAATGCATTTCCAAATATCCTTACACAGATTCTACAAAAACAGTGTTTCCAAACTGCTGAATGTAAAGAAATGTTTAACACTGACTTATGAGTGCACACATCATGAAGCAGTTTCTCAGATAGCTTCCTTCCAGTTTTTATCTTGGGATATTTGCTTTTTTCACCATTGGCCTCAATGAGCTCCCAAAAGTGCATTCACAGAATGGACAAACACAGTGTCTCCAACTGCTGAATCAAAAGAAAAGTTTAACTGTGGGAGACAGTTTGCACACAATGCAAACTGGTTTCTCAGTTTGCTTCCTTCTAGTTTTTACTGTGGGATACTCACTTTTTTGCTATTGGCCTCAATGTGCTCCCAAATGTCCATTGGCAGAATGGACAAAAACAGTGTTTCCAAACTGCTGAATCTAAAGAAAGGTTTTACACTGTGAGAAGAATGCACACCTCACAAAGCAGTTTCTCAGAAAGCTTCTTTCTAGTTTTCAACTGAACGTATTTTCTTTTTCACCATAGACCTCAATGCACGCCAAAATACCCCTTCCCAGATTGTACAAAAACAGTGTTTCCAAAATGATGTATCAAAAGAAAGGTTTAACTGTGGGAGATGAATGGACACATCACAAAGTGGTTTCTAAGACAGCCTCCTTCCACTATTTATCCTGAGATCATTGCTTTTTCACCATTGGACTGAATGAGCACTCAGATATCCATTCACAGAATGGACAATCACGGTGTTTCCAAACAGCTGAATCAAAAGAAAGGTTTTTCTCTGCTAGATGAATGCACACATCACAAAACGGTTTCTCAGACTGCTTTATTGGGCTTTATTGTAGTTTTTATCATGGGATATTCAATATTTTGATGTTGGCCTCAATGAGGTACCAAATGTCCGTTCACAGAATGGACAAAAACAGTCTTTCAAAACAGTTGAATCAAAGAAAGTTTAACTCTGTGAGATGAATGCTCATATCAGAAAGCAGTTTCTCAGAAAGCTTCTTCTAGTTTTTATCTGAATTTACTTTATTTTCACCATAGACCTCAAGGTGCTCCCAAATATCCCTTTGCAGATTATACAAAAACAGTGTTTCCAAACTGCTGAATGGGAAAAAAAGGTTTAACTCTGTGGGATGAACGTACCCTTTGTAAAGAGGTGTCTCAGATATATTTCTTCTAGTTTTTATCCTGGGATATTCACTTTTTTGCCATTGGCCTCACCGAGATCCCAGTGTTCATATGCAGAATTGACAAAAGGAGTGTTTCCAAACTGCTGAATCAAAAGAATGGTTTAACTCTATGAGATGAATGCAAACTTCACAAAGCAGTTTCTCAGAAAGCTTCCTTCTAGTTTTTATCTGAAGATATTTTCTTTTTCACCATAGTCCTCAATGAGCTTCCAAATATCAAATTGCAGATTCTTTAAAAACAGTGTTTCCAAACTGCTGAATGAATAGAAAGGTTTAACTCTGCGAGGTGAATCCACACATGACAAAGTGGATTCTCAGATAGCTTCCTTCTATTTTTTATCATGGGAGATTTTATTTCTGACCATTGGCTTCAATGATCTCCCAAATGTCCATTCGCAGAATGGACAAAATCAGTTTTTCCAAACTACTGAATCAAAAGAAAGGTTTAGCTCTCTGAGAGGAATGCACACATCACAAAGCAGTTTCTCAGAAAACTTCTTTCTGGTTTTTTTCTGAAGACATTTTCTTTTTCACAATAGGTCTCAATGCACTCCCAAATATCCCATCACAGATTTTTTAAAAACAGTGTTCCAACTGCTGAAAGAATAGAAAGGTTTAACTCTGTGAGATGAAGGCACACATGACAAAGCAGATTCTCAGACAGCTTCCTTCAAGATTTTATCCTGGGATACTTGCTTTTTTACAATTGGCCTCAATGAGCTCCCAAACGTCCATTTCCCCAATGGAGAAATACAGTTTCCAAACTGCTGAATCAAAAGAAAGGTTTAAATTTGTGAGATGAATGCACACGTCCCAAAGCAGTTTTTCAGAAAGCTTTCTAGTTTTTATCTGAAGATATTTTCTTTTTCACCATAGGCCTCAATACGCTCCCAAATATCCCTTCACAGATTCTACAGAAACAGTGTTTCCAAACTGCTGAATGAAAAGAACGGCTTCACTCTGTGAGACTAATGCAGACATCACAAAGCGGTTTCTGAGATAGCTTCCTTGTAGTTTTGATCCAAGTGTATTCGTTAATTCCATTGGCCTCAACGAGCTCCCAAATACACATTCACAGAAATGGACAAAAACAGTGTTTACAAGTTTTTGCATGTAAACAGAGGTGTAACTGTGTGAGCGGAATGTATACATAACAAAGCAGTTTCTCAGAAAGCTTCTTTCTAGTTTTTATCTGAAGATATTTCTTTTTACACATAGTCCTCAATGCACTCCTAAAAGTCCCTTTGCAGATTCTAAAATATACTGTTTCAAAACTGCTCACTGAAAAGAAAGGTTTAACTCTGAGGGATGAATGGACATATCACAAAGTGGTTTCTAGATAGCTTCCTTCTAGTTTTTATACTGGGATATTTGCTTTTTCACCATTGGCATCAAAAAGCTCCCAAATATCCACTCACAGAAGGGACAAAAACAGTATTTCCAAACTGCTGAATCAAAAGAAATTTTTATTTCTGGGAGTTCAATGCACACAAGACAAAGCAGTTTCTCAGAAATCTTCTTTATTGTTTTTATGTGAAGATATTTTCTTTTTAACCATAGGACTCAATGCTCTCCCAAATAGCCCTTTGCAGATCCAGAAAAGCATTGTTGCCAAATTGTTGAATGAAAATAATGGTTTAATTCTGCTAGATGAATGAACCAATCACAAAGTGGTTTCTCAGATAGCTTCCTTCTAGTTTTCGTTCTGGGATGTTCACTTTTTTCACCATAGGCTTCAATGCAACCCCAAATATCCCTGTGCAGATTCTACCATTCTCGTGCAGAAACCATCATTCTCAGCCAACTATCACAAGGACAGAAAACCAAACACTGCATGTTCTCACTCATAGGTGCGAGTTGAACCATGAGAACACTTGGACACAGGAAGGGGAACATCACACACCAGGGCCTGTCATGGGGTCGGTGGAGGGGGCAGGGATAGCATTAGGAGATATACTTAATATAAATGATGATTTAACGGGTACACACACCAACATGGCACATGTATACATATGTAACAAACCTGCACATTGTGCACTTGTGCCCTAGATCTTAAAGTAAAATTTAAAAAGAGAACAGAAAGGTTTAATTCTGTGAGATGAATGCACACAACTCAAAGTGGTGTCTCAGACATCTTCCTTCCAGTGTGTATCCTTTGATATGTGCTTTTTTGCCATTGGCTTCAATGCGCTCCCAAATGTCCATTGACAGTAAGGAAAAAGTGGTGTTTCCAAACTGCTGAATGAAAAAAAAGTTTAATTTTGTGAGATGACTGCATACATCACAAAAAGGATTCTAAGATAATTTCCTTCCAGTTTTTTTCTGGGAATATTTTCTTATTTGCTATCGGCCTCCATGAGCACCCAAATGTCCATTTGCAGAATGGAGAAAAACAGTGTTTCCAAACTGCTGAATCAAATGAAAGGTTTAACTCTGTAAGACAATTTATGTGCACACATCAGAAAGCAGTTTCTCAGAAATCCTCTTTCTAGTTTTTAATCTGAATTTATTTACTTTTTCACCATAGGCTTGAATGTGCTCCCAAATGTCCCTTTGCAGTTACTACAAAAACAGTGTTTCCAAAGTCTGTGAGATGAATCCGAACACTGCAATGTGGCTTCTCAGATAGCTTCCTTCTAGTTTTTATTTAGGGATATTTGCTTTTTTGTCATTAGCCTCAATAAGCTCCAAAAAGTCCATTCAAAGAATAGGCAAAAATAGTGTTCCTAAACTGCTGAGTGAGAATGGTTTAACTGTGAGATGAATGCACACATCACAGAGGAGTTTCTCAGGAAGTTTAGTTCCAGTTTTTACCTGAAGATATTTTCTTTTTCACCATAGGCCTCAATGTGCTCCCAAATATCCCTTCACAGATTCTGGATAAACAGTGTTTCCATAATGCTGAATGAAAAGAAAGGTTTAACTCTGTGAGATGAAGGCACACATCAAAAATCAGTTTCTCAGAAAGCTTCTTTCTAGTTTTTACATAAAGGTATTTTCTTTTTCACCATGGGCTCCCAAATATACCTGTGCAGGTTTTACAAAACAGTGTTTGCAAACTGCTGAATGAAAAGAAAGTTTAACTCTGAGAGATGAATGCACACATCTCAAGGTGGTTTCTCAGATAGTTTTCTTCTAATTTCTATCCTGGAATATTTGCTTTTTTTGCCATTGACCTCAATGAGCTCTCAAATATCCATTCACAGAATGGACAAAAAAACAGTGTTACAAATTGCTAAGTCAAAAGAAATGTCTAACTCTGTGAGTTTAATGGACAAATCACAAAGAAGTTTCTCAGAAAGATTCTTTCTACTGTTTATATGAATGCATTCTCTTTTTCACCATAACCTCAATGCACTCCCAAGTAACCCTTTGCAGATTCTTCCAAAACAGTTTTTCCAAACTCCTGAATGAAAAGAAAAGTTCAAATCTGTGAGGCAAATGCACACATCACAAAGGAGTTTCTCAGAAACTTTCCTTATTTTTGTTATGTGAAGATATTTTCTTTTTCAACATAGGCCTGTATGCCCTCTCAAGTATCACTTTGAATATTCTACAAAACAGCCTTTCAAAACTGCTGAATGAAAAGAAAGGTTTAACTGTGTGAGATGAATGTGAACACCACAAAGGGGTTTCTCAGATAGCTTCATTCTATTTTTTATCCTGGGATATTCTTTTTTTCACCAGTGGCCTCAAATATCTCCAAAATGCCCATTCAAAGAATGGGCAAAAACTGGGTTTCCCAATTGCTCAGTACAAAGGAAGTTTTAACTCTGTGAGATGAATGCACACATCACAAAGCAGTTTCTCAGATAGCTTCCTTCTAGTTTTTATCTGAAGATATTTTCCTTTGCAACATAAGCCTCAATATGCTCCCATATATTCTTTTGCGTATTCTACATAAACAGTGTTTCCAAACTGCTGAATGAAAAGAAAAGTTTAACTCTTTGAGGTTAATGCACACAACACAAAGTGGGTTTTTAGATAGCTTCATTCTAATTTTTTTCCTGAGATATTCAGTTTTTCACCACTGGCTTCAATCAGATTCAAAATGTCCATTCACAGAATGGACAAAAACAGAATTTTTAAACTGCTGAACTGAAAGAAAGTGAAACTCTATGAGATGAATGCACACATCACCAAGCAGTTTCTCATAAAGTTTCTTTCTAATTTTTATCTGAAGATATTTTCCTTTTCACCATAGGCCTCAATGTGCTCCCAAATATCCCTTTGCTGATTCTTCAAAAATAAGGTTTTAAAAATGCTGAATGAAAAGAAAGGTTTATCTCTGCAAAATGAAGGCACACATCACAATGCCTTTTCCATGATATCTTCCTTTTTTTTATCCAGGGATATTCGCTTTTTTGCTATTGGCCTCCATGAGCTCCCAAATGTTCATTCACAGAATGGACAGAAACAGTGTTTCCAAACTCCTGAAGGAAAAGAAAGGTTTAAATCTGCGAGATGAATGCACACATCAAAAAACAGTTTCTGAGAGAGCTTCCTTCTAGTTTTTATCCTAGGATATGCTTTTTCACCACTGGCCTCGAACTCCCAAATGTCAATTTGCAGAATGGACAAAAACTGTGTTTTGAAACCACTGAATCAAAAGAAAGTGGTAACTCCGTGAGATGAATGCACGCATCAAAACGCTGCTTCTCAGAAAGCTTCTTTCTAGTTTCTATCTGAAGTTATTTTCAACCTAGGTCTATATGGGCTCCCAAATATCCCTTCGCAGATTCTTTAAAACAGCGTTTCCAAACTGCTCAAAGAAAAGAAAGGTTTAACGCTGCATGTTGAATGCACACATCACAATGCAGTTTCTCAGACAGCTTTCTTCTAATTTTTATTCTGGGATATTCACTTTTTTTGCCTTTGGCCTGAATGAGCTCCCAAACTTCCATTTGCAGAATTGACAAAAACAGTTATTCCAAACTGCTGAATCAACAGAAAGTTTTAACTCTGTGAGATGAATGCACACATCACAAAGCAGTTTCTCAGAAAGCTTCTTTCTGGTTTTTATCTGAAGACATTTTCTTCTTCACCTTAGGCCTCAATGTACACACAAATAGTCCTGCACAGATTCTATGAAAAAGAAAGGTTTAAATCTGTGGGACAAATGCACACATCACAATGTGGTTTCTCAGATAGTTTTATTCTAGTTTTTATCCTGGGATATTAGCTTTTTCACCACTGGCCTCAATGAGCTTCTGAATGACCAATCATAGAAAGGATGAAAACAGTGTTTCCAAAGTGCTGAATCAAAAGAAAGGTTTTACTCTGTAAGACGAATGCACACATCACAAAGTGGTTTCTCAGAAAGGTTCCTTCTAGTTTTTATCTGAAGCTATTTTCTTTTTCACCATAGGGTGCAATATACCCTCAAATATCCCTTCACCAATTGTACAAACACAGTGTTTCCAAAATGCTGAATGAAAAGAAAGGTTTAACTTTGCGAGGTGAATGCACACATGACAAAATGGTTTCTCAGATAGCTTCGTTGTAGTTTTTAACCTGGGATATTCTCCTTTTTCCATTTTCCTCAATGAGCTCCCAATTGTCCATTTGCACATTGGACAAAAAATGTGTTCCCAAACTGCTGAATCAAAAGTATGGTTTAACTCTGATCTGAATGTACACAACACAAAGTTATTTATCAGATAGTTTCCTTCTAGTTTATATCCTGGGATATTCGCTTTTCCACCACTGGCTTCAATGAGCTTGCAAATTTCCATTCCCAGAATGGACAAAAACAGTGTTTCCAAACTGCTGTATGAAAAGGAAAGGTAAAGTCTGTAAGATGAATGCACACGTCACAAAGCAGTTTATCAGAAAGCTTCTTTCTAGTTTTTATGTGAAGATGATTTCTGTTTCACCATAGGCCTCAAAGCACTCCCAAATATCCCTTTGCAGATAACTGCTGATTGAAAAGAAAGATTTAACTCTGCAAGATGATTGCACACATCTCAAAGCAGTTTCTCAGATAGATTTTTTTTAGTTTTTATCCAGGGATATTCACTTTTTCACAATTGGCCTCAATGAGATTCCAAATGTCCATTCACAGAATGGACAAAAACAGTGTTTCCAAACTACTTTATCGAAAGAGAGGTTTAGCTGTGAGAGGAATGTACACCTGTCAAAGCAGTTTCTCGGAAAGCTTCTTTCTAGTTTTTGTCTGTATTTTCTTTTTCACCATAGTCTCAAAATGCTCCCAAATATGCCTTCACATATTCTACAAAATCATTGTTTCCAAACTGCTTAATGAAAAAAAGGTTTAACTTTGCGAGGTGAATGCATACGTAACAAAGCATTTTCTCAGATAGTTTCCTTCTAGTTTTTGTGTCTGGATATTTGCTTTTTCTCCAGTGGCCTCTATGATCTCCCAAATGTCCACTCACAGAAAAGACAAACTGGTGTTTCCAAACTGCTGCATCAATGGAAAGTTTATCTCTGTGAGATGAATGCACACATCAAAAAGCAGTTTCTCAGAAAGCTTCCTTCTACTTTTTATCTGAAGATATTTTCTTTTTCACCATTGGCCTCAATGCACTCCAAAATATCCCTTTGCTGATTTGACAAAAGCAGCATTTCCAAACTACTGAATGAAAATAAAGGTTTAACACTGTAAAATGAATTCACACTTCATAATGCCATTTCTCAGATAATTTATTTCTAGTTTTTTTCTTCGGATGTTTGCTTTTTTGCCTTAGCTCTCATTGCCCTCCCAAATATCTCTTTGCAGATTCTACAAAAACAGTGTTTCCAAACTGCTGAATGAAAACAAAGGTTTAACTCTGTGAGGTGAATGCACATCACAAAGTGGATTCTCAGACAGCTTCCTTCCTGTTTTTTTTCTTGGATACTCCTTTTTTGCCATTGGCCTCAGTGAGCTCCTAAATGTGCATTCACAGAATGTACAAAAACAGTGTTTCCAAACTACTTAATGAAAAGAAGGGTTTAACTCTGTGAGAAAATGCACATGTCACAAAGCGGTTTCTCAGTAACATACTTTCTAGTTAGTATCTGAAAAATTTTTTTCAACATAGGCCTATATGTGGTCGAAAATGTCCCTTCACAGATCCTAGAAAACAGTGTTTCCAAAATGCTGAGTGAAAAGAAAGGTTTAACTCTGTGAGATGAATGCCCACATCACAAAGCAGTTTCTCAGATAGCTTCCTTCTAGTTTTTATCTTGGGATATTTGCTTTTTCTCCATTGGCCACAAAGAGCTCCCAAATGTCCACTCTTACAATAGACAAAAACAGTGTTTCCAAACAGGTGAGTCAAGAGGAGGGTTTAATTCTGTGAAATAAAAGCACACATCACAAAGCAGTTTCTCAGAAAGGTTCTTTATAATGTATATCTGAAGACATTTTCATTTTCACCATAGGCCTCTATGTGCTCCCAAATATACCTTTGCAGTTTCTACACAAACATTGTTTAGCAACTGCTGAGTGAAAATAAACGTTTAACTCTATGAGGTGAATGTACACATCACGAAGCAGTTTCTCAGATAGCTTCCTTATAGTTTTTGTCCTGTGATATTCAGTTTTATGGCATTGACCTCAAGGAGCTCGCAAGTGTCCATTCGCATAAGGGCAAAAACAGTGTTTCCAAACTGCTGAATCAAAAGAAAGGTTTATCTGTTTGAGATGAGAGCACACCTCATGAAGCAGTTTCTCAGAAAGCTTCTTTCTTGTTTTTATCTGAAGATATTTCCTTTTTCACCATAGGCCTCAATGCGCTCCCAAATAACCCTTCACAGATTCTACAAAATCAGTTTTTCAAAACTGCTGAATGAAAAGCATGTTATAACTCTGAGAGTTGAATGAACACCAAACCAGGTGGTTTTTCAGATAACTTCCTTCTAGTTTTTATTCTGAGATATTCACTTTTTCACCATTGGCCTCAACGAGTTTCAAAATGTCCATTCAGAGAATGGACAAAAACAGTGTTTCCAAACAATTGAATCAAAAGAAAGGTTTAACTCTGTGAGATGAATGCACACATCACAAAGATATTTTCCAGATAGCTTCCTTCTAGTTTTTATCCTTCAATATTGGCTTTCTTGCCTTTGCCCTCATCAAGCTCCCAAATGTCCATTTGTAGAATGGACAAAAACAGTGTTTCCAAATTGCTGAATCAAAAGAAAGGTTTAACTCTGTGAGAGGAATGTACACATGACAAAGCATTTTCTCAGAAAGCTTCTTTCTGGTTTTTATCTCAACATATTTTCTTTTTCAACGTAGTCCTCAACGCACTCCCAAACATTCGTTGGCAGATTCAAACAAAAAATTTTTCCAAACTGCTGAATGAAAAGAAGAATTTAACTCTGTGATATGAATGCACACATCATAAAGTGGTTTCTCAGATAGCTTCCTTCTAGTTTTTATCCTGGGATATTCACTTTTTCACCATTGACCTCAAAGAGCTCCCAAATGTCCACTCACATAATGGACAAAAAGTGTTTCCAAACTGCTGAATCAAAAGAAAAGTTTAACTCTGAGAGATGAATGCACACATCACAAAGCAGTTTCTCAGCTTCTTTCAAGTTTTAATCTGAATATATTTTCTTTTTCACCATAGACCTCAATGCACTACCTAATATTACTTAGCAGATTCCAGAAAAACAGTGTTTCCAAACTGACAAATGAAAAGAAAGGTTTTACTCTATGAGATAAAAGCAGACAACACAGAGCGGTTTCTCAGATAGCTTCCTCCTAATTTTTATCCTGTTATGTTCACTTATTCACCTTTGGCCTCAAAGACCTCCCAAATGTCCATAGTCAGAATGGACAACAACAGTGTTTACAAACTGCTGAAGGTAAAGAAAGGTGTAACTCTGTGAGATGAATGCACATATAACAAAGCAATTTCTCAGAAACCATCTTTCTAGTTTTTATTTGAAGATATTTTCTTTTTCACCCTAAGCCTCAATGAACTCCCTAATATTCCTCGGCAGTTTCCACAAAAACAGTGTTTCCAAACTGATGAATGAAAAGAAAGGTTTAATTCTGTGAGATAAATGCAGACATCACATAACGGTTTCACAATAACTTCCTAGTAGTTTTTATCCTCAGATATTCACTTTTTCACCTTTGGACTCAACGAGCTCCTAAATGTCCATTCACAGAATGCACAAAAAAGGGTCTCCAAACTGCTGAATCAAGAGTAAGTTTTCACTCAGTGAGATGAATGCACACATCACAAAGCAGTTTCTCAGAAAGCTTCTTTTCGTTTTTATCTGAATATATTTTCTTTTTCACCCTAGGCCTCAATGTACTCCCTAATATTACTTGGCAGATTCAACAAAAACAGTGTTTCCAAACTTCTGAATGAAAAGAAAGATTTAACTCTGACAGACAAATGCTGACTTCACAAAGGGGTTTCTCAGATAATATCCTTCCACTTTTTTTCCTGGGGTATACAGTTTTTCACAAATGGCATCAGTGAGTTCCCTAATGTCTATTCCCAGAATGTACAAAAACAGTGTTTCCAAACTGATGAATCAAAGGAAAGGTTTAACCCTGTGAGAGGAATGCACACCTCTTTAAACAGTTTCTCAGAAAACTTCTTTCTAATTTTTATCTGAAGATATTTCCTTTTTCACCACAGGCCTCAATGCACTCGCAAATATCCCTTCACAGATTCTACAAAAACTGCTGACTGAAAAGGAAAGTTTACCTCTGCCAGGTGAATGCACACATCAAAAAGCGGTTTCTCAGACAGCTTCATTCTTTTTTTTTATCCTGGGATATTCGCTTTTTTGCCATTGGCCCCAATGAGCTCCAAAATGTCCTTTCACAGGAAGAACAAAAGCAGTGTTTCCAAACTGCTGAATAAAAGAAGGGTTTAAATCAGTGAGATGAATGCACACATCACAGAGCAGTTTCTCTGATAGCTTTCTTCTAGTTTTTATGCTGGGATATTTTATTTTTCACCATTGGCCTCAATGAGCTCAAAAATGACTATTTCCAGAATGGACAAACACAGTGTTTCCAAAATCCAGAATCAAAAGAAAGGTTTAACTCTGTGAGATGAATGCACACATCACAAAGCGGTTTCTCAGATACCTTGTTTCTTGTATTTAACCTGGGATAATTGCTTTTTTGCCATTGACCACAATGAGCTCCCAAATGTCCATTTGCAAAATGGACAAAAACAGTTTTAAACCCCTGAATGAAAGGAAAGTTTTAACTCTGACAGATGAATGCACACATAGCAAAGCGGTTTTGCAGATAGCTTCCTTCTAGTATTTATCCTGGGATATTATTTTTTTGCCATTGCCCTTAATGAGCTCTCAAATGTCCATTCGCAGAATGGACAGAAACAGTGCTCCCAAACTGCTGAATCTAAATAAAGTTTTAACTTTTCTAGATGAATGCACACATCACAAAGCAGTTTCTCAGAAAGATTCTTTCTAGTTTTTATCTAAAGATATTTTCTTTTTCACAGTAGATCTCAATGCACTTCCAAATAGCCCTTCACAGAATCTACAAAATCAGTGTTTCCAAACTGCTGAATGAAAAGAAATGTTTAAATTTGTGTGACGAATGCACACATCACAAAACCATTTCTCAGATAGTTTCATTCTAATTTTTACACTGGGATATTCTCTTTTTCACCATTGGCCTCAATGAGCTCCAACATGTTCATTTGCAGAATGGACAAAAACAGTGTTTCCAAACTGCTGAATCAAAAAAAAGGTTTCAGTCTGCGAGATGAATACACACATCACAAAGCAGTTTCTCAAAAAGTTTCTTTCTAGTTTTAATCTGAAGATACTTACTTTTACCCCTTAGGCCTCAATGTGCTCTCAAATATCAATTTGCAGATTCTACAAAAACAGTGTTTCCAAACTGCTGTATGAAAATAAAGGTTTCACTCTGTGAGTTGAATGCACACATCACAAAGTGGTTTCTCAGATAGCTTCCTTCTAGTTTTCATCCTTGGATATTTGCTTTTTTGCCATTGGTCTCAATGATCTCCCAAATGTCTATTCGCAGAATGCAGATAAACAGTGTTTTGAAAGTGCTAAATCAAAAGTAAGGTTTAACTGTGAGGTGAATGCACACATCACAAAGCAGTTTCTCAGAGAGCTTCTTTCTACTTTTTATCTGAAGATATTTTCTTTTTCACATAGGCCTCAATGCGCTCCCAAATATCCCTTCACACATTCTACAACAAAAGTGTTTCCAAACTGCTGTATTACAAGAAAGGTATAACAATGTGAGATGAATGGACACATCACAAAGCAGTTTTTCAGTTGGTTTCTTTCTAGTATTTATCCTGGGTTATTCGCCTTTTTGTCATTGTCCTTGAAAAGTTCCCAAATGTCCTTTCTCTGAATAGGCCAAAGAATATTTCCAAACTGCTGAATCAAAACAAAGCTTAAACTCTGTGAGGTGAATGCACACATCACAAACCGGTTTCTCAGATAGCTTTCTCCTACTTTTTATCCTGGGATATTCACTTTTTCTTCATTGGCTTCAATGAGCTCCAAAATGTCTGTTTGAAGAATGAACTAAAACAGTGTATCCAAACTCTGAATGAAAAGGAAGATTTATCTCTGTGAGATGAATGCACACATCACAAAGTGGTTTCTCACATAGCTTCTTTATAGATTTTATCCTGGGATATTCTCTTTTTTGCCATTGGCCTCAATGAGCTCTCAAATGTCCATTCACAGAATGGACAAAAACAGTGTTTCTCAACTGCTGAATGAAAAGGAAGATACAAATCTGTGAGGTGAATGCACACATCACAAAACAGTTTCTCAGACAGCTTCCTTCCAGTTTTTATCCTGTTACTTTCTCTTTTTCACCCTTGGCCTCAATGAGCTAAAATCATCCACACATAGAATGGATAAAAACAGTGTTTTCAAACTGCTGAATCAAAAGAAAGGTTTAACTCTGTGAGATGAATGCACAAATCAAAAAGCTGTTTCTCCGATAGCTTCCTTCTAGTGAATATCCTGTAATGTTCACTTTTTTTGTCATTTGCCTCTATGCACTCCAATATATCCTTTCACAGATTCTCCAAAAACAGTGTTTCCAAACTGCTGAATGAAAAGAGTTTTAACTCTGTGAAATGAATGTGCACATCATAAAGCAGTTCCTCAGATAGCTTCTTTCTACTTTTCATCCTGGGATACTTGCTTTTTCACCATTGGCCTCAATGATCTCCCAAATCTCCATTCACAGAATAGACAGAAATAGTGTTTCAAAACTGCTAAATCAAAATAAACGTTTAACTCTGAGAGAAGAATGCACACGTCATGAAGCAGTTTCTCATATAAGTTCCTTCCAGTTTTTAATCCTGAAATATTCACTGTTTCACCATTGGCCTCAATGAGCTCCCAAATGTCCACTTACAGAATGGACAAAAACAGTGTTTCTGAACTGCTGAATCAAAAGAAATGTTTTTCTCTGCAAGATGAATGCGAGCATCACAAAGTAGTTTGGCAGATGGCTTCCTTCTAGTTTTTATCTTGGGATATTTACTTTTTCACTATTTGCCTCAATTAGCTTTCAAATATCCTCTCTCCGAATGGACAAAAATAGTGTTTCCAAACTACTGAATCAAAAGAAAGGTTTAATTGTGTGAGATGAATGGACACATCATAAAGTGGTTTTTCATATAGATTCCTTCTAGTTTTTACCCTGGGACATTGGCTTTTTCCCCATTGGCCTCAATGAGCTCCCACATGTCCATTCATAGAATGGACAAAATAGTGTTTCCAAACTGCTGAATCAAAAGAAAGGTTTAACTCTGTGAGATGAATACACACAACATGAAGCATTTTCTCAGATAGTTTCCTTCCTGTTTTTATCTGGGAATATTCACTATTTCACTAGTGGCCTCAATGAGCTCCCAAATGTCCATCCACAGAATGGACAAAAAAAGGGTTTCTGAACTGCTGAATCAAAAGAAAGGTTTTACTCTGCAAGATGAATGTGAATATCACAAGGTGGTTTGGCAGATAGCTTTCTTCTAGTTTTTATCTTGTGATATTCACTTTTTCACTTTTGGCCTCAATGAGCTCTCAAAAATCCATTCTCCAAGTGGACAAAAACAGTGTTTCCAAAATGCTGAATCAAAAGAAAGGTTTAACTGTGTGAGATGAATGGACACATAAAAAACCGGTTTTTCAGATAACTTTCTTCTAGTTTTTATCCTGGGATATTGGCGTTTTCACCATTGGCCTCAATGAGCTCCCAGATATCCATTCGCAGAATGGACAAAAACAGTGTTTCCAAACTGGTGAATCAAAAGAAAGGCTTAACTCTGTGATATGAATGCACACATCACAAAGCAATTTCTCAGGAACCTTCTTTATAGTTTATATCTGAAGATATTTTCTTTTTCACCATAGGCCTTTTTACACTTCCAAATATCCCTTGACAGATTCTACAACAACAGTGTTTCTGGACTGCACAATGTAAAGAAAGGTTTAAGTCTGTGAGATGAATGTGCACATCACAATGTAGTTTCTCAGATAGTTTCATGCTGGTATTTATCCTGCAATATACACTTTTCCCCCATTGGCCTCAATGAGCTCAAAAATGTCCATTTGCTGAATTGAAAAAAACAGTGTGTCCAAACAACTGAATCAAAAGAAAGTTTTATTTCTGTAAGATGAATGCACACATCACAAAACAGCTTCACAGAAAGTTTCTTTCTAGCTTTTATCAGAAGATATTTTATTTTTCACCTTATGCCTCAATGTGCTCCCAAATATCTCTTCTCAGATTCGACAAAAACAGTCTTTCCAAACTGCTTAAAGAAAATAAAGCTTTAACTCTGCCAGATGAATGCACACTTTGTAAAGCGGTTTGTCAGATAGCTTAATTGTAGTTTTTTCCTGGGATATTCCCTTTTTACTGTTGGAGTCAGTGAGCACCAAAATGTCCATTCACAGAATGGACAAAAGCAGTGTTTCCAAATTGCTGAATCAAAACAAAGTTTAACTCTGTGAGATTAATGCCCACTTCACAAAGAAGTTTTTAAGAAAGCTCCTTTCTAGTTTTTATCTGAAGATATTTTCTTTTTCACCATAGCCTAAAAGCACTCCCAAATATCCCTTCACAGATTCTACAAAAACAGTTTTTCCAAAGGGCTGAATGAAATAAAAGGTTTCAGTCTGCGAGATGAATACACACATCACAAAGCGTTTTCTCAGATAGGTTCCTTCCAGTTTTTAATCCTGGGATTTTCACTTTTCACTATTGGCTTCAATCAGCTCCCAAATATCCATTCACAGAATGGACAGAAACAGTGCTTACAAACTGCTGAATCAAAAGAAATGTTTAAATCCATGAAATGAATACACACTTCACAAACAGTTTCTCAGATAGCTTCTTTCTATTTTGTACTGAGTGTATTCATTTTGTTGAGTTTAACCTCAATGAGCTCCCAAATGTCCATTGGTCAAATGGACAAAAACAGTGTTTCCAAACTGCTGATTCAAAAAAATAGTTTAAGTCTGTGAGATGAATGCACACATCAAACAGCAGTTTCTCAGATAGTTTACTTCTAGTTTTTATCCTGGGGTATTCCCTTATTCACCATTGGCCTCAATGAACTCCCAAATGTCCATTCTCAGAACGGACAAAAACAGTGCTTCCAAAGTACTGAATCAAAAGAAAGTTTTAAAACTGTGAGGTGAATATGCACAACACTTAGCAGTTTCTCAGAAAGCTTCTTTCTAGTTTTTATCCTAAAATATTTTCTTTATCACCATAGGCCTCAATGCACTCCAATATATGCTGAAGGAAAAGAAACGTTTAACTCTGTGAGATAAATACAGATATCACAGAGTGGTTTCTCAGATAATTTCTTTCTAGTTTTCATCTGGGGTTATTTCTTTTTTGCCATTTTCCTCAATGAGCTTCCAAATGTCATTTCACAGAATGGACAAAAAGAGTGTATCCAAACTGCTCAATCAAAAGAAAGATTTGGAAAAACTGTTTTTGTACAATCTGCAAAGGGATATTTGGGAGCACATTGAGTACTATGGTGAAAAATAAAATACCTTCAGATAACAACTAGAAAGAAGCTTTCTGAGAAAGTCCTTTGTGATGTGTGCCTTCATGTCACAGAAATAAACCTTTCTATTGATTCAGAAGTTTGGAAACACACTTATTGTCCATTCTGTGAATGGACATTTGGGAGCACATTGAGGCCAATGGTGAAAAAGTGAATTTCCCATGATAAAATCTAGAAGGAACTATCTGAGAATCTGCTTTGTGATGTGTGCATTTATCTCACATAGTTAAACTTTTAATTTCATTCAGCAGTTGGGAAACTCTGTTTTTGTAGAATCTGCAAACAGATATTTGGGAGTGCATTGGGGCCTATGGGGTAAAAGAAAATGTCTGTAGATAAAAACCAGTAAGAAGATTTCTGAGAAACACCTTTGTACTGTGCCCATTCATCTCACAGAGTTAAACCATTTTTATTAATTCTGGAGTTTGGAAAGACTATTTTTGTCCATTCTGCGAATGGACATTTGGGAGCTCATTGAGGTCTATGACAGAAAAGGGAATATCCCGGGATAAAAAATAGAAAAAGTTGTCTGAGAAACCACTTTGTGATGTGTGCATTAATCTCACAGAATTAAGCCTTTCTTTTGATTCAGCAGTTTGGAAACAATGTTTTTGTCCATTCTGTGAATGGACATTTGGTAGCTTATTGAGGCCAATGGCAAAAAGGCAAATATTCCAGGATATTCGCTAGAAGGAAGATATCTCAGAAACCACTTTTTGATGTGTGCATTCATCTTGCAGAGTTAAACCTTTCTTTTGATTCAGCAGTTTGAGAACACTGTTTTTATCAATTCTGTGAACTGATGTTTTTAGCTCATTGAGGCCAAGGGCAAAAAACAGAATATAACAGGATATAAAGTGGAAGGAATCTATCTGAGAAACCACTTGGTGATGTGTGCATTTATCTCGCAGAGTTAAACTTTTCTATTCTTTCAACATTTTGGAAACACTGTTTTTGTAGAATCTGAAAAACGAAATTTGGGAGCACACTGAGGACTATAGCAAAAAAGAAAATATCTTCACATAAAAACTAGAAAGAAGCATTCTGAAAACTGCTTTGTGATGTGTGCATTCATCTCACAGAGTTAAAACTGTGCTTAGATTCAGCAGTTTTTAAGCAATGTTTTGGTAGAATCTGTGAGGGAATGTTTTGCTGAGAATTGAGGACTTTTATGAAAAAGATAATATCTTCAGATAAACACTATAAAGAAGCTTTCTGAGAAACTGCTTTGTGATGTGTGCATTCGTCTCACAGAGCTAAACCTTTCTTTTCATTCAGCAGTTGGAAAACTCTGTTTTTGTAGAATACACAAAGAGATATTTGGGAGTGTTTTTAGCCCTATGGCGAAAAAGGAAATATCTTCAGATAAAAACTAGAAAGAAGCATTTGAGAAACTGCTTAGTGATATGTCCACTCATCTCACAGAGTTAAAGGTTTCTTACTTTTTTTTTCAGGAGTTTGGAAACACTGTTTTTGTCCATTCTTCAGATGGACATTTGGTAGCTCATTGATGCCTGGCAAAAAACAAAATATCCCAGGATAAAAACTAGAAGGAAGCTATATGAGAAGCCACTATGGGATGTGTGCATTCACCTTCGAGAGTTAAACCTTTCTTTTCATTCAGCAGTTTGGAAACCCTGTTTCTGTAGAATCTACAAAGGGATGTTGGGAGCACATTGAGGGTTATGGTAAAAAACAAAATATCTTCAGATTAAAACTAGAAAGAAGCTTTCTGATAAGCTACTTTCTGATGTGTGCATTCATCTCACAGAGTTAAAACTTTCTATTGATTCAGCAGTTTGGAAGCACTGTTTTCGACCATTCTGCAAGTGGACGATTGGGAGCTTACTTAGACCAATGGTGAAATAGTGAATATTACAGAATAAAACCTGGAAGTAAGCTCTCTGAGAACCTGCTTCATGTTGTGTGCATTCATCTCACAAAGTTAAATATTTCTTTTCATTCAGCAGATAGGAAACACTGTTTTTGTAGTACCTGTGAAGGGATATTTGGGATCACAGTGAGGCCTATGGTGAAAAAGAAAATATCTTCAGATAAAACCCAGAAGGAAGCTTTCTGAGAAACTGTTGTCTGTTGTGTGTATTCATCTCAGAGATTTAAAACTTTCCTTTGATTCAGCAGTTTGGAAACCCTGTTTTTGTCCATTCTGTGAATGTACTTTTTGGAGCTCATTGAAACCAATGGCTAAAAAGCTAAAGTCCCCAGATAAAAACTACAAAATAGCTATCTGAGAAACTGTTCTCTAATGAGTGCATTCATCTCAGGGTGTTAAACCATTTTTTTGATTCAGCAGTTTGGAAACACTGTTTTTGTCCATTCTGTGAACACACATTTTGGATCTCATTGAAGCCAATGGCAAAATAGCAAAAATTCCAGGAGAAAAACTGGAAAGAAACAATCTGAGAAACTGCTTTGTGATGTGAGCATTCATGTCACAGTGTTAAACCTTTCTTTAGATTCAGCAGTCTGGAAACAGTGTTTTTCTCCATTGTGCATATGGACATTTTGGGAAATCTTACAGGCTAATGGCAAAAAAGCCAATATCCCAGGATAAAAAGTAGAAGAAAGCCATCTGAGAGACCACGATGTGATGTGTGCATTCATCTCACAGAGTTAAATTTTACTTTTCATTCAGCAGGTTGGAAACACTGTTTTTGTCGAATCTGAGAAAGGATATTTGGGAGAACACTCAGGCCTATTTTGAAAAAGAAAATGTCCAGATAAAAACCAGAAAGAAGCTTTCTGAGAAACTGCCTTTTGATGTGTGCATTCAAGTCACAGAGTTAAACATTCCTTTTGATTCAGCAGTTTGGAAAAACTGTTTTTGTCCATTCTGTGAATGGAAAATTGGGAACTCATTGAAGCCAATGGCCAAAAAAAAAAAATCTCCCAGGATAAAAAATAGAAGGAAGCTAGCTGAGAATCCATTTTGTCATTTGTGGATTCACCTCACAGAGTTAAACCTTTCAATTCTTTCAGCAGTTTGGAAACACTGTTTTTAAAGATATTTTAAAGTGGATATTTGGGAGCTCATTGATTCCAATGGCAAAAAAGCGAATATCCCAGGGTATCCTTTCTATCTAGTTTTTATCAGAGGATATTCACTTTTTTGCCATTGGCTTCATTGAACTCACAAATAGCCATTTGCAGAATGGACAAAAACAGTGTTTCCAACTTGTTGAATCAAAAAAATTATTAACTCTGGACATGAATGTATACATAACAAAACAGTTGTTTTAAACACTTCTTTCTAGTTTTCATGTGAACATATTTTCTTTTTCACTGTTGGCCTCAATGTGCTCCCAAATATTCCTTCTTAGATTCTACAAAAACAGTGTTTCCACACTGCTGAATCAAAAGAAAAGTTTAAGTCTGCAAGATGAATGCACACATCACAAAGCGTTTCTCAGATAAATTCATTCTTGTTTTATTCCTGGGATATTTGTTTTTTCCCCATTGGCCTCAAAGAGCTCCCTAATATCCATTTGCAGAGTGGACAAAAACGGGTTTCCAAACTGCTGAATCAAAAGCATGTTTTAACTCTGAACATGAATGTACACATCATGAAGCAGTTTCTTTGAATTCTTCTTTCTAACGGTTATCTGAAGATATTTTCTTTTTCACCATAGACCTCAATGTGCTCTCAAATATCTCTTCTCAGAGTCTACAATAACTTTGTATCCAAACAGCTGCATGAGAAGAAAGGTTTAACTCTGCCAGGTGAATGCACACATCACAGGGCGGTTTCTCAGATAGCTCTCTTCTAGAGATATTCACTTTTTCACCACTGGCCTCAATGAGCTCCCAAATGTGTATTTACAGAATGGACAAAAACGGTGATTACAAACTGCTAAATCAAAACGAAGATTTAACACTGTGAGATGAATGCACACATCACAAAGTAGTTTCTCAGATAGATTCCTTCTAGTTTTTATCCTGGGATATATGCCTTTTCACCTAGTGTCTCATTAAGCTCCCAAATCTCCATTTGCAGAATGGACAAAAACAATGTTTCCAAACTGTTGATTCAAAACAATTGTTTAATTCTGTTAGATGAATGCACACATCACAAAGAAATTTCACAGAAAGCTTCATTCTAGTTTTATCTGAAGATATTTTCTTTTTTAACATAAGCCTCAATGAGCTCTCAAATATCCCCTTGCAGTTTCTCCAAAAACAGTGTTTCAAAACTGCTGAATCAAAAGAAAGTTTTAACTTTGTGACATGAATGCACAAAGCACAAAGCAGTTTCTCAGAATGCTTCTTTCTATTTTTTATGTGAAAATATTTTCTGTTTCACCATAAGCCTCAATGCACTCCCAAATATCCCTTTGCAGATTCTACATTAACAGTTTTTCAAAACTGCTGAATGAAAAGAAAGGTTTAACTCTGTGAGAGTAATGCTCACAACACAATGCGTTTTCTCAGAAAGCTTCCTTCTGGTTTTTATTCTAGGATATTTCCTTTTGCCATTGGCCTGAGAGAGAGATATATGCATGTCACACAAAGTGGTTTCTCAGAGAGCTTCCCTCTAGTTTTTATCCTGGGATATTCACTTTTTCACCATTGGCCTCAATGAGCTCCCAGGAATATCCCAGGAATGTCCCAGGATAAAAACTAGAAGGAAGCTATCAGAGAAACAGCTTTGTGATGTGTGTATTCACCTCACAGAGTTAAAACTTTCTTTTCATTCAGCAGTTTGGAAACACTGCTTATGGAGAATCTGAGAGGGGAAATTTGGGAGCCCATTGACACCTCTGGTGAAAAAGAAATTATCTTCAGATAAAAACGAGAAAGAAGCTTCCTGAAAAACTGCTTTGTGTTGTGTGGATTCATCTCACAGTGTTAAACCTTTCTTTTGACTGGGCAATCTAGAAAAACTGTTTTTGTCCATTCTGTGAGCAGACATTTGGGAGCTCATTGAGGCCAATGGTGAAAAAGTGAATATCCTGGGAGAAAAACTGGAAGGAAGCTATCTGAGAAAGTGCTTTGTGATGTGTGCATTCATCTCACAGAGTTAAACTTTTCTTTTGACTCAGCAGTTTGGAAACGCTGTGTTTGTTCATTCTGTGAATGGATATTTAGGAGCTCATTGAGGCCACTGGCAAAAAAGGGAATATACCAGGATAAAAACTAGAATGAGGCTATCTGATAAACCACTTTGTAATGTGTGCATTCAACACAGAGAGTTAAACCTTTCTTTTCATTCAGCAGTGTGGAAACCCTGTTTTTGTAGAACCTGCGAATGGATATTTGGGAGCCCATTGAGGCCTATGGTGAACAAGAAAAAATCTTCAGATAAAAACTAGAAAGAGACATTCTGAGAAACAGCTTTGTTTTGTGTGCATTCATCTCACAGAGTTAAACATTTACTTTGATTCAGCAGTTTGGAAATCCTGCTTTTGTAGAATCTACCAAGAGACACTTTGGAGCACATAGAAGACTATGGTGAAAAAGAATATATCTTCATATAAAACTAGAAAGAAACTTTCTGAGAAACTGTTTTGTGATGCAGGCATTCATCTCAGAGGGTTAAACTTTTCTTTTGTGTGAGTAGTTTGGAAACCTGTTTTTGTCCAATCATCAAATGTACATTTGAGAGCTCAATAAGTGTAATGGTGTAAAAGCAAATATGCCAGGATAAAAACTAGAAGGATGATATTTGAGAAACCGCTTTGTGATGTGTGCATTCATCTCGCAGAGTAAACCTTTCTTTTGACTGAGCAGTTTGGAAACACTGTTTTTTGTCCATTCTGTGAATGGACATTTGGGAGCTCATTGAGGTCAATGGCACAAAAGTGAATATCCCAGGATAAAAACTGGAAGGAAGCTATCTGAGAAGCTACTGTGTGATGTGTGCATTAATCTTCCCGTGTTAAAACTTTCTTTTGATTCAGCTGTTTGGAAACACTGTTTTTGTGGTTCTTCAAATGGATATTTGGGAGCTCATTGAGGCCAATGGCTAAAAAGCAAATATCCCAGGAAAAAAAACTGGAAGGAAATTATCTGAGAATCTGCTGTATGATGGGTGCATTCATCTCACAGAGGTAAACCTTTCATTTCATTTTGCAGTTTTGAAATGCTATTTTTGTAGAATCTGTGACGGGATATTTGGGAGCACTTTCAGGCCAATGGTGAAAATGCAAATATCATCAGATAAAAACTCTAAAGAAATTTTCTGAGAAAATGCTTTGTGGTGTGCACATTCATCTCACAGAGCTAAAACTTTGTTTTGATTCAGCAGTTTGGAAGCACTGTTTTTCTCCATTCTGCAAATGGACAGTTGGGAGCTCATTGAGGCTAATGGCTAAAAAAGTAAATGTCACAGGATAATAACTAGAAGGAAGCTATTTGAGAAACTGCTTTGTGATGTATACATTCATCTCACAGAGTTAAATCTTTCTTTTCATTCAGCATTTTGGGACAATGTTTCTGTAGAGTCTGCGAAGAGATATTTGGGAGCACATTGATGCCTATGGAGAAAAAGAAAATATCTTCAGATAATATCTAGAAAGAGGCTTTCTGAGGACCTGCTTTGTGATGTGTGCATTCAACTCACAGAGTTAAACCTTTCTTTTGATTCAGCTGTTTGGAGACACTGTTTTTCTCCATTCTGTGAAGGGACATTTGGGAGCTCATCGAGAGCAGTGGCAAAAAACAGAATATCCCACGATAAAAACAGGAGGGAAACTTTCTGAGAAACTGCTTTGTGGTGTCTCCATTGATCTCACAGAGTTAAACCTTTCTTTTGATTCAGGAGTTTTGAAATACTGTTTTTCTCCATTCTGTGAATGAACATTTAGGAGCTCTTTGAGGTCTGGGGTGAAAAAGGGAATATCCCAGGATAAAAACAGGAGGGAAACTTTCTGAGAAACTGTTGTGTGATGCATGCATTCGCCACACAGAGTTAAACTTTTCTTTTCCTTCAGCAGTTTGGAAATATTGTTTTTGTAGGAACTGCAAAAAAAATATTTGGGTGCATATTGAGGCTTATGGTGAAAAAGAAAATATCTTCAGATAAAATCTAAGAAGAAGCTTTCTGAGAAACTGCTTTGTGATGTGTGCATTCATCTCACAGAGTTAAACCTTTCTTTTGATTCAGCTGTTTGGAAGCACCGTTATTGTCCATTCTGCAAATGGAGCTCATTGAGGCTCATTGAGGCCCATGGCAAAAAAATAAATGTCGCAGGATAACTAGAACGAGGCTATTTGAGAAATCGCTTTGTGATATATGCATTCACTCACAGAGTTAAATTTTTCTTTTCATTCAGCATTTTGAAAACATATTTTTATAGAGTCTTCGAAGAGATATTTGGGAGCACGTTGATGCCTATGGAGAAAAAGAAAATACCTTCAGATAAAATCTAGAAAGAGGCTTTCTGAGAACCAGCTTTGTGATGTGTGCATTCATCTCACAGACTTAAACCTTTCTTTTGAATCAGCTGTTTGTAAACACTGTTTTTTTTTTTCATTCTGCAAATGGATATTTTGGAGCTCTTTGAGGCCAATGGGGAAAAAGAGAACATCCCAGGATAAAAACCAGAAGGAAGAAATCAGAGAAACTGCTTTGTGATGTGTGCATTCATTTCACAGATTTAAACGTTTCTTTTGATTCAGCAGTTTGGAAACACTGTTTTTTTCCCCTTCTGCAAATGGACGTTTGGGAGCTCATTGTGGCTAATGATGAAAAAGCAAATATCCCATGATAAAAACTTCAAAGAAGCTATCTCAGAAACTGCTTTGTTATGTGCACATTTGTCTCAGAGTTTTAATCATTACTTTTGATCAACTTTTTTGGAAACACTGTTTTTGTACATTCTGCCAATGGACATTTGGGAGATTGTTGAGGCCAATGGTGTAGAAGAAAATATCTTCAAATGAAAATTAGAAGGAAGTTTCAGAGAAACTGCTTTGTGATGTCTCCATTCATCTCACAGCGTTAAACATCTGTTTTGATTCAGGAGTTTTGGAGCACTGTTTTTCTCCATTCTGTGAAGGGACACTTGGGAGATCATTGAGGCCAGTGGCAAAAAAGAGAATATCCCAGGATAAAAACAGGAGGGAAGCTTTCTGAGAAGCTGTTGTGTGATGTGTGCATTCACATCAGAGAGTTAAACTTTTCTTTTCATTCAGCAGCTTGGAAATATTGTTTTTGTTGAAACTGCAAAAAAAAAAATTTGGGTGCACCAGAAGGAAGCAATCTGAGAAACAGCTTTATGAAGTGTTCATTTACCTCCCATATTTAAATCTGTCTTTTAATTCAGTGGTTTGGAAACATTGTTTCTGTCCCTTCTGTGAATGGACATTTGGGAGCTCATTGAAGCCAATGGCAAAAAAGTGAATGTCCCAGGTTAAAAATGAGAAAGAAGCAAACTGAGAAATCACTTTGCAATGTGTGCATTCATCTCACAGAGTTAAACCTTTCTTTTGATTCAGCAGTTTGGAAATACTGTTTTAGTCCACTGTGAAAATAAACATTTTGGACATCATTGAGGCCAAGGTAGAAAAAAGGAATATCCTAGGATAAAAACTGGAAGGAAGCTATCTGGGAAACCTCTTTGAGATGTGTGCTTTCATCTTGCTGACTTAAACATGTCTTTTGTTTGAGTAGTTTGCAAACACTCTTTTTGTCCATTCTACAAATAGACTTTTGGAACTCCTTGAGGTCAATGGCAAAAAAGGACTACCTAAGGGTGAAAACGAGAAGGAAGCTATGTGAGAAATTGCTTTGTGTTGTGTACATTCATCTGGCAGAGTTAAACATTTCTTTTCATTCACTGTTTGGAAACACTGTTTGTGCAGGAGCTGCTAAAGGATATTTGAAAGCGCATTGAAGCCTATGGAGAAAAAGAAAATAACTTCAATTAAAAATAAGACAGAAGCTTGCTGAGTAAGTGCTTTATTATATGTGCAGTCATCTCATAGAGGTAAACCTTTATTTTGATTGAGTAGTTTGGAAACACTGTCTTTGCAGAATCTGGGAAGGAAAGAGAACATTGAGGCATATGGAGGAAAATGAAATATCTTAAGATACAAACTAGAAAGAAGTTTTCTGAGAAACTGTTTTGTGGTGTGTGCATTCATCTCATAAAGTTAAACCTTTCTTTTGAATGAGCAGTTTGGAAACGCTGTCTTTGCAGAATCTGGGAAGGGAAGAGAACATTGAGGCATAGGGAGGAAAAGGAAATATCTTAAGGTACAAACTAGAAAGAATTTTTCTGAGAAACTTTTTTGTGGTGTGTGCATTCATCTCATATAGTTAAACCTTTCTTTTGAATAAGCAGTTTGGAAACACTGTTTTTGCAGAATCTGCAAAGGGATATTTGGGAGCACATTGAGGCCTATGGTGAAAAAGGAAATATCTTCATATACAAAGTAGAAACTTTCTGAGAAGCTGTTTGATGACGTGTGCATTCATCTCAAAGAGTTAAAACTTTCTTTTGATTGAGCAGTTTGGAAACATTGTTTTTATAGAATCTGCTAAGAGATATTTGGGAGCCCATTGAGTTTTATGTTGAAAAAGGGAATATCTTCACATAAAAACTAGAAAGAAGTTTTCTGAGAAACTGCTTTGTGATGAGTGCATTCATCTCACAGAGTTAAACATTCCTTTTGATTGAGCGGTTTGGAAAAACAATTTTTCTAGTATCTGCAAGGGGATATTTGGGAGATATTGAGTCTTATGATGAAAAAGGAAATATCTCCACATAAAAAGTAGAAAGAAACATTCTGAGAAACTCCTTTGTGATGTGTGCATTCATCTCATAGAGTTAAACCATTCTTCTGATTGAGAAGTATGGAAACACGATTTTGGTGAATCTGCCAAGGGATATTTAGGAGTGCACGGAGGCCTATGGTGAAAAAGGAAATATCTTCACATAAAAACTAGAAGAAGCTTTCTGAGAAACTGCTTTGTATTGTGTGCATTCATCTCACAGAGGTAACTTTCACTTTGATTGAGCCGTTTGGAAGCACTATTTTTGCAGGATCTGAAAAGGGAAATTCAGAGCCATTGAGTATTATGGTGAAAAAGGAAATATCTTCACATAAAAAAAATTCTGAAGAACTGCTTTAAGATGTGTGCCTTCATTAGACAGAGTTAAAACTTTCTTTTGATTGAGAAGTTTGGGAACACTGTTTGTGTAGAAACTGCAAAGGGATATTTTGGAGTACATTGAGGCCTATGTTGAAAGAGGAAATATCTTCAAATATAAACTAAACAGAAGCTTTCTGAGAAACTGCTTTCCAGTGAGTGGATTCAGCTCACAGAGTTAAACCTTTCTTTTGATTGAGGAATTTGAAATCACGGTTTTTGTAGAATCTACAAAAGGAAACTTGGAGTGCATTGGAGCCTATGGTGAAAAAGAAAATATCTTCAGATACAAACTAGAAGGAAGCTTTCTGAGAAACAGCTTTGTGATATGTGCATTCATCTCATAGAGGTAAACTTTTCTTTGCATAGAACGGTTTGGAAACACTGTTTTTGTGGAATCTGTGAAGGGATATTTGGGATCCCATTGAGCCTTGTGGCAAAAAAGAAAGTATCTTCAGATACAAACTAGAAAGAAGCTTTCTGAGAAACTGTTTTGTGATGAGAATATTCATCTCACAGAGTGAAACCTTCCTTTTGATTGAGCAGTTTGGGAACTCTGTTTTTGTAGAATATGCAAAAATGATATTTCTTTTTTCATTGAGCAGTTTTGAAATACCATTTTTGTAGAATCTGTGGGATATTTGGGAGCGCATTGAGTCCAGCATTGATAAAGGAAATATGTTCACATAAAAACTGGAAATAAGCTTTCTGACAAACTGCTTTAAGATGTGTGCATTCATCTCATAGAGTTAAACTTTTCTTTGACAGAGAAGTTTGGAAACACTGCTTTGGTAGAAACTGTGAAGGGATATTTGTTTGCGCTTTGAGGCCTATGGTGAAAAAAGAAATATCTTCACATAAAAACTAGAAAGAAGCATTCTGAGAATCTGCTTTGTGATGTGTTCATTCACTTCACTAAGTTAAACCTTTCTTTTGATTGAGCACTTTAGAAACACTGTTTTTGTAGAAACTGTGAAGGCATATTTGGGAGCGCATTGAGTCCTGCAGTGATAAACAGAATATATTCACTTAAAAACTGGAAAGACGATTGCTTAGAAACTGCTTTTTCAAGTGTGCATTCATCTCACAGAGTTAAACCTTCCTTTTGACTGAACAGTTTGGAAACTGTTTTTATAGAATCTGTGAAGGGATATTGGGAACACATTGAGGCCAATGGTGAAAAAGGAAATAGCTTCACATAAAAACTAGAAAGAAGCTTTCTGAGAAACTTCTTTGTGATGTGTGCATTCATCTCACAGAGCTGAATCTTACTTTTGATTAAGCAGTTTGGAAACACTGTTTTTGTAGAATCAGTGAAGGGATATTTGGGATTACATTGTTGCCTATGTTGAAAAAGTAAATAACTTCAGTTACAAACAAGAAACAAGCTTTCTCTGAGACTGCTTTTTATGTGTGTATTCATCTCTTATAGCTAAATATTTCCTTTCATTGAGCAGTTTGGCACACTGTTTTTGTAGAATCTGTGAAGGTATATTTCTTTGCACTTTGAGCACTATGATGAAAAAGTGAATATCTTCAGTTATAAACTAAAAATAAGCATTCTGAGAAACTGCTTTGTGATCAGTGCATTCATCTCACAGAGTTAAACCTTGCTTTTGATTGAGAAGTTTGGAAACACTGTTTTTGTCAAATCTGCAAAGGGATATTTGGAGCACATTGAGTCCTATGGTGAAAAAGGAAATATCTTGTCATAAAAATTAGAAAGAAGCTTTCTGAGAAACTGCGTTGTGATGTGTGCATTCATCTCACAGAGTTAAACCTTTCTTCTTTTTGAGCAACTTGGAAAGACTGTTTTCATAGAATCTGCAAAGGGATAATTTGGAGCCCATTATGTCTTATGTTGAAAAAGGAAATATCTTCACCTAAAAACTAGAAACTTTCTGACAGCCTGCTTTGTGATGTATGCATTCATCAGATGGAGTTCAACCTTTACTTCGATTGAGCAGTTTGGAAAAACTATTTTGTAGAATCTGCAAGGGAATATTTGGGAGCCATTGAGTCTTATGGTGAAAAAGGAAATATCTCCACATCCAATCAAAAAGAAGCTTTCTGAGAAACTGCTTCGTGATGTATGCATTCATCTTATAGAGTTAAAGCTTTATTTTGATTGAGCAATTTGGAAACAGTGTTTTTGCAGATTCCGCAAAAGGATATTTGTGAGTGCCTGGAGGCATATGGTGAAAAAGGAAATATTTTCAGATACAAACTAGAAAGAAGCTTTCTCTGAAACTGCTGTGTGAGGTATGCATTCATGTCACAGAGTTAAAACTTTCTTTTGATTGAGCAGTTTGGAAACACCATTTCTGTAGAATCTGTGAAGGGGTATTGTGTTGAGCTTTGAGGCCTATGGTGAAATAGAAAATATATTCATATATAAACAAAAAAGAAACTTTCCTAGAAACTGCTTTGTGATGTCTGCATTCATCTCTTAGAGTTAAAGCTTTATTTTGATTGAGCAGTATGGAAACACTGTTTTTGTAAAATCTGGGGAGGGATATTTGGGAGTATATTGGGGCCAATGGTGAAAAAGGAAATGTCTTCAGAAAGCAACTTGAAGGAAGCTTTCACTGAAACTGCTTTGTGATGTGTGCATTCATCTCACAGAGGTAAACCTTTATTTAGATTCAGCAGTTTGGAAACAGTGTTATGGTAAAATCTGTGTGGGTTTATTTGGTTTTGCTTTGAGGCCTACTGTGAAGAAGGAAATATTTTCAGGCATAAATTAGAAAGAAACTTTCTGAAAAATTGCTTTCTGATTTATGCATGAATCTCACAGAGTTAAACCTTCCTTTTGATTGAACAATTTGGAAACAAATTATTTTTAGAATATGCAAAAGTATACTTGGGAGTGCGTTGGGACCTATGGTGAAAAAGGAATTATCTTCTCATAAAAACTCGAAAGAAGCTTTGTGACAAACTGCTTTGTGATGAGTTCATTCATCTCCCAGAGTTAAACCTTCATTTTGATTGTGCAATTAGGAAACGTGTTTTTGTAGGATCTGCAAAAGGATCTTTGGAGCACAATGAGGCCAATGGTGAAAAAGAAAATATCTTCACATAAAAACTAGAAAGCAAGTATCTGAGAAACTGCTTTGTGATGTGTAGATTCATCTCATAGAGTTAAACCTCTCTTTTGATTGAGCAGTATGGAAACACTGTTTTTGTAGAATCTGCAAAGAGATACTTGGGAGTGCATTGAGACCTATGGTGAAAAAGGAAATATCTTCAAACACAAATTAGAAAGAAGCTTTCTCTGAAACTGCTTTGGATGTGTGCATACATCTCTCATAGGTAAACCTACCTTTTGATAGAGCAGCTTGGAAACACTGTTTTTGTATAATCTGCAGAGGGATATTTGGGAGCACATTAAGGCTTACTGTGAAAAAGGAAATATCTTCAGATACAAACTAGAAAGAAACTTTCTGAGAAACTTCTTTGTGAGGTATGCATTCATATCACAGAGTTAAACCTTCCTTTTGATTGAGCAATTTGGAAACTTTTTTTTTTTAGAATCTGCAAAAGGATATTTGGGAGCGCTTTGAGGCCAATGGTGAAAAATGAAATATCTTCACATACAAACTAGAAAGAAGCATTCTGAGAAACTGCTTTGTGATGTGTGCATTCTTCTCACAATGATAAACCATTCTTTTGATTGAGCAGATTGGACACACCGTTTTTGTACAAACTGCGAAGGCATATTTGGGAGCACATTGAGTCCCATGTTAATAATGAAAATATATTCACAAAGAAAATGGAAAGAAGTTTTCTGAGAAACTATTTGTGATGTGTGCATTCATCTCACAGATTTAAAACTTTCTTTTGATTGAACCATTTGGAAACACTGTTTTTTCAGAATCTGCAAAAGGACATTTGGGAGCACCTTGAGGCCAATGGAGAAAAAGGAAATATCTTCACATAAACAACTAGAAAGAAGCATTCTGACAAACTGCATAGTGATGTGTGCATTCATCTCATAGAGTTAAACCTTTCTTTACACTGAGCAGCTTTGGAAAACTGTTTATGTAGAATCTGTGAGGAGATATTTTGGAACGTTTTGAGGCCCATGGTGAAAAAGGAAATATCTTCAGATACGAATTAGAAAGAAGCTTTCTCTGAAACTGCTCTGTGATGTGCAGTTCATCTCACAGAGTTAAACCTTTCTCTTGATTGAGCAGTTTGGAAACACTGTTTTTGTGGAATCTGCAAAGGGATATTTGGGAGTGCATTGAGCCCTATGGTGAGAAAGGAAATACCTTAGGATACAAACTAGAAAGAAACTCACTGAGGAACTGCTTTGTGATGTGTGCTTTCATCTCACAGAATTAAACCTTCCTTTTGATTGAGCAATTTGGAAACACTTATTTTTTCGAATCTGCAAAACCATATTTGGGAGCTCATTGAGGCTAATTGTGAAGAAGGAAATACCTTCACATAAAAACTAGAAAGATGTTTTCTGAGAAACTGTATTGTGATGTGTGAATATCTCCAGATACAAACTAGAAAGAAGCTTTCTCTGAAACTACTATGTGATGTGTGCATTCATCTCACAGAGTTAAACCTTTCTTTTGATTGATCCTTTTGGTAACACTGCTTTTGTAGTATCTGCGAAGGAATATTTGTTTGTGCTTTGAAGTCTATGGTGAAAAAGGAAATATCTTCAGATATAAACAAAAAAGAAGCTTTCTGAGAAACTGCTTTGTGATGTTTTCTTTTATCTCATAAAGTTTAACCTTTCTTTTGATTGAGTAGTAAGGATACACTGTTTTTGTAGAATCTGCGAAGGGATATTTGAGAGTGCATTGAGGCCTATGGTGAATAAGGAAATATCTTCAGATACAAAATAGAAAGAAGCTTTCACCGAAACTGCTTTGTGATGTCTGCATTCATCTCACAGAGTTAAACCTTTTTTTTTAAATGAGCAGTTCAGAAACACCGTTTTGGTAGAATCTGCGAGGGTTTTTTTTTTTCCGCTTTGAGGCCTATTTTGCAAAAGGAAATATCTTCACATAAAAACTGGAAAGAAGCTTTCTGAGAAACTGGTTTATGATTAGTGCATTCATCTCAAAGAGTTAAAGCTTCCTGTTGATTAAGCAGTTAGGAAACATTGTTTTTGTAGAATGTGCAAAAGGATATTTGGAGCCCATTGAGGTCAGTGGTGAAAAAGCAAATATCTTCACAGAAAACTAGAAATAAGCTTTCTGAGAAACTGCTTTGTGATGTGTGCATTTATCTCATGCATTTAAAGCTTTCTTTTGATTGAGCATATTGGAAACACTGTTTTTGTAGACTCTGTGAAGGCATATTTGAGAGCGCATTGAGTTCTACGGTGATAAAGAAATTATGGGGGAGGGATAACATTAGGAGATATACCTAATGCTAAATGATGAGTTAATGGGTGCAGCACACCAACATGGTACATGTATACATATGTAACAAACCTGCACATCATGCACATGTACCCTAAATCTTAAAGTATAATAATAATAAAATAAAAATTAAAAAAAGAAATTATGTTCGTATAAAAAAGAGAAAGAAGCCTTCTGAGTAACTGCCTTGTGATGTGTGCACTCATCTCACAGAGTTAAACCTTTCTTTTGATTGAGCAGTTTGGAAACTCTGTTTTTGTAGAATCTGCAAAGGGATATTTTGTTTCGCTTTGAGGCCTGTTGTGAAAAAGGAAATATCTTCAGATATAAATTACAAGAATTTTTCTGAGAATGTGCTTGTGATGAGTGCATTCATTCCACAGAGTTAAACCTTCCTTTTGATTGAGCAGTTTGGAAACACTGTTTTTGTAGAATCTGCAGAAAGATATTTGGAGTACTTTGAGGCCTATTGTGAAAAATAAAATAACTTCACATAAAAATAAGAAATAAGCTTTCTGAAAAACTGCTTTGTGGTGTGTGAATTCATCTCACAGAGTTAAATTTCTCTTTTGATTGAGAGTTTTGGGATCACTGTTTTTACAGAATCTGAGAAGCGATATTTAGGAGCGCATTGAGGCCCATGGTGATAAAGGAAATATCTTCATATACAAACTAGAAATGAGCTTTCTCTGAAACTGCTTTATGAGGGGTGCATTCATCTCAAAGAGTTAAAACTTTCTTTTGATTGAGCAGTTTGGAAACATTGTTTTTGAAGAAACTGTAAAGGGATATTTGGGAGCAGATTTAGGTCTATGGTGAAAAATGATATATCTTCAGATATAAACTAAAAACAGGCTTTATGAGATGCTGCTTTATGATGAGTGCATTCATCTCACAGAGTTAAAACTTCTTTTTGATTGAGCAATTTGTAAACACTGGTTTTGTAGCATCTGCAAAAGGATCTTTGGAGCCCATTGAGGCCAATGGTGAAAAAGAATATATCTTCATATAAAAACTAGAAAGCAGCTTTCTTAGAAACTGCTTTGTGTTGCGTGCATTCATCTCATAGAATTAAACCTTTATTTTGATTGAGCAGTATGGAAACACTTTTTTTTTTTACAAACTGTGAAGGGATATTTGGGAGCACAATGAGGCATGTGGTGAAAAGGAAATAATTCCACATAAAAACTAATAAAGAAGCTTTCTGAGAAACTGCTTTGAGATGTGTGCATTCATCTCACAGAGATAAAACTTTCTTTTGATGTAGCACCTTGGAAACACTGTTTTTGTAGAAACTGTGAAGGGATATTTGGGAATGCATAGAGTCCCATGGTGATAAAGGAAATATGTTCAAATAAGAACTTGAAAGATATTTTCTGAAGAAACTGTTTGTGAAGAGTGCATGCATCTCACAGAGTTAAACGTTTCTTTTGCTTGAGCAATTTGGAAACACCTGTTTTGTAGAATCTGCAAAATATATTTGTAGTGCATTGAGACCTATGGTGGAAAAGGAAATATCTTCACATAAAATCTAGAAAGAAGCTTTCTGACAGACTGCTTTGTGATGTGTGTATTCGTCTTATAGAATTAAACCTTTCTTTTCATTGAGGCATTCACAAACAGTGTTTTTGTAGAATCTGAACAGGGATATTTGGGTGAGCATTGAGGCCTATGTTAAAAAGGGAAATATCTCCAGATACAAACTAGAAAGAAACTTTCTGTGAAACTGCTTTATGATATGTGCATTCATCTCACAGAGATAAACTTTGAGCAGTTTGGAAAGACTTTGTAGAACCTGCAAAGGAATAGTTGGGAACACATTGAGTCTTATGGTGAAAAAGGAAACATCTTCACATAAAAACTAGAAAGAAGCTTTCTGAGAAACAGCTTTGTGATGCATGCATTCATCTCACAGAGTTAAAACTTCCTTTTGATTGAGCCATTTGGAAACACTGTTTTTGTAGAATCTGCAAAGGGATATTTGGGAGCCCATTGAGTCTTACGGGGAAAAGGCAATATCTTCACATAAAGACTTGAAAGAAACATTCTGAGAAACTGTTTTGAGAAGTGTGTGTTCATCTCACAGAGTTAAAGCAGTCTTTTGATTGAGCAGTTTGGAAACACTGTTTTTGTAAGGACTGCTAAAAGATATTTGGGAGCACAATGAGTCCTGTGGTGATAAATATGTTCACATAAAAACTATAAAGATAATTTCTGAGAAATTGCTTTGGAAATGTGCATTCCTCTCACAGAGTTAATGCTTTCTTTTGATTGAGCAGTTTGGAATCTCTGTTTTTGTACAATCTGCAAAGGGATATTTGGGAAGGCATTGA
Source organism: Homo sapiens (assembly GCF_000001405.40). Classification (NCBI taxonomy): domain Eukaryota; kingdom Metazoa; phylum Chordata; class Mammalia; order Primates; family Hominidae; genus Homo; species Homo sapiens. The sequence continues at coordinate 62,208,070 of NC_000007.14, read as the reverse complement.
GGCCTGTGGTGAAAAAATACCTTCAGATAAAACTAGAAAGAAGTTTCTGTGAAACTGCTTTGTGACGTGTGCATTCATTTCAAAGAGATAAAACTTTCTTTTGACGGGGCAGTTTGGAAACACTGTTTTTGTAGAATCTGCAAAGGGATATTTGGGTGCCCCTTGAGTCTTATGGTGAAAAAGTAAACATCTTTAGTTAAAAACTACAAAGAAGCTTTTTGAGAAACTGCTTTAAGTTGTGTGTGTTCATCTGCATCAAGGCTGATGGTGGAAAAATTATCTTAAGATATGAAAGAAAAAGAAGCTTTCTGAGAAACTGGTTTTGTGATGTAAGCATTCATCTCAGAGAGTTAAAACTTCCTTTTGATTTAGCAGTTTGGAAACACAGTTTTTTAAAAAACTGCAAAAGGATATTTGGAACACCTTGAGGCATATGGTGAAAAAGGAAATATCTTCATATAAAAACTAGAAAGAAGCTTTCTCTGAAACTGCCTTGCAATGTGGGCATTTATCTCATAGAGTTAAACCTTTCTTTTGATTGAGCAGTTTAGAAACACTTTTTTTTGTAGAATATGTGAAGGGATATTTGGGAGCTCATTGAGGCCCATGGGTAGAAAGGCAGTATATTCAGATACAAACTAAAGAAGCTTTCTGAAAAACTGCTTTGTAAGGTGTGAATTCATGTCATAGAGTTAAACTTTTCTTTTGATTGAGCAGTTTGGAAAGATGGTTTTTGTAGAATCTGCAAAGGGAAATTTGGGAGTGCATTGAGGTCTATGGTGTAAAACCTACTATCTTCAGATACTAACTAGAAAGAAGCTTTCTGAGAAAATGCTTTGTGATGTGTTCATTCATCTCACAGAGTAAAACCTTTCTTTGATTGAGCAGTTTGTAAGCACTATTTTTGTAGAAACTGCAAAGGGATATTTTGGAGCACATTGAGTTTTATGGTGATAAAGGAAATATCTTCACATAAAAACTACATAAAAGCTTTCTGAGTAACTGCTTTGTGATGTGTGCATTCATTTGACACAGTTAAACCTTTCTTTTGCTTGAGCAGTCTGAAAATACTGTTTTTATAGGAACTGTGAAGGAATATTTGGGAGTGCTTTGAGTCCTATGGTGATAAAGGAAATATGTTCACAAAAAACTGGAAAGATGCTTTTTGAGAAACTGTTTTGTGAAGTGTGCATTAATCTCACAGTATTAAACCTTTCTTATAATTGAGCAGTTTGGGATCTCGTTTTTGTAAAATCTGTGAAGGTATATTTGGGAGGGCATTGAGGCCTATGTTGAAAAAAATATCTTCAGATAAAACTAGAAAGAAACTTTTCATGAAACTGCTCTGTGAAGTGTGCATTTATCTCTAAAAGATAAACCTTTCTTTTCATGGAGCAGTATGGAAACACTGTTTTTGTAGAATCTGTGAAGGGATATTTGGGAGTCCACTGAGTCTTATGGTGAAAATGGAAATATCTTCACATAAAAACTAGAAAGAAGCTTTCTGAGAAACTGCTTTGTGATGTGTGCATTCATCTCACAGAACTGAACCTTTCTGTTCATTGAGATGTTTGGAAACACGGTTTTTGTGGAATCTTAAAAGTGAAATTTTGGAGCCCATTGAATCACGTGATGGAAAAGGAAATATATTCACATAAAAACTAGAGAGAAGCTTTATGAGAAACTGCTTTGAGATGTGTGCGTTCATCTCACAGAGTTAAACCTTTCTTTTCATTGAGCTGTTTGAATACACTGTTTTTGTAGAATCTGTGAAGGGATACTCGGGAGTGCATTGAGTCTTATGGTGAAAAAGGAATCATCTTCAGACACAAAGTAGAAAGAAACTTTCTCTGAAACTGCTTTGTGATGTGTGCATTCATCTCACAGAGTTAAAACTTTCTTTTGATTCAGCACTGTGGAAACATTGTTTCTGTCCATTCTGCAAATGGACATTTGGGAGCTCATTGAGGTCAATGGTGAAAAAGCAAATATTCCAGGAAAAAGTCTAGAAGAAATCTACGTGAGAAACTGGTTTGTAATGTGTGCATTCATCTCACAGAGCTAAACCTTTCTTTTGATACAGCAGTTTGGAAAAACTGTTCTTCTCCTTTGTGTGATTGGAAAATTGGGAGCTCATTGATGCCAATGACAAAAAAGTGAATATCCCAGGAAAAATACTAGAATGAAGCTATCTAAGAAACCACGTTTGGGATGTGTGCATTCATCTCTCAGTATTAAGCCTTTCTTTTCATTAAGCAGCTTGGAAACACTATTTTTGTTCATTCTGTGAATGGACATTTGGGAGGTCATTGATGCCAATGGCAAAAACGTGAATATCCCAGGATAAAAAAAAGAATGACGCTATATGGGAAACCACTTTGTGTTTTGTGCATTCTTCTCACAGAGGTAAACCTTTCTTTCCATTCAGCAGTTTGGAAACACTGTTTTTGTAGAATCTGCAAAGAGATATTTTGAAGCTCATTGAGGCCTATGGTGAAAAGGAAAATGTTTTCAGAAAGAAATCAGAAAGAAGCTTTCTGAGAAACTGCTTTGTGATGTGTGCACCCATCCCACAGAGTTACACCTTTCTTTTCATTCATCAGTTTGTAAGCACTGTTTTTGACCACTCTGCCACTAGACATTTCGGAGCTCATTGTGGCCAAAGGCAAAATATCCATTATCCCAGGATAAAAACTCAAGGAAGCTATCTGAGAATCCACTTTGTGATTTGTGCACCCATCTCACAGAGTTAAAAATTTCTTTTCATTCACCAGTTTGGAAACACTGTTTTTGTAAAATCTGTGAGTGGGTATTTGGCAGTGGATTGAGGCCTATGGAGAAAAAGAAAATAACTTCAGATAAAAACTAGAAAGAAGTTTTCTGGGAAATTCCCTTGTGATGTGTGCATTCATCTCATAGAAGTAAAACTTTCTTTTGATTCAGCACTTTGCAAACACTGTTTTTGTCCATTGAGAGAATGGACATTTGAGAGATCATTGAGGCCAGTGGTGAAAATCAAGTATCCCAGGATAACAACTAAAAGGAAGCTAACTGTGGAATCACTTTGTGATATGTGCATTCATCTTGCAGTTAAACCTCACTTTTCATTCAGTTCTTTGGAAACTCTGTGTTTGTCCATTCTGCAAATAGACATTTGAGAGCTCATTGAGACTGAAGGTGAAAATGTGAATTTCCCAGGATAAAAACTAGAAGGATGCTATCTCAGAAATGTCTTTGTGATGTGTCCATTCACTCATACATTTAAATCTTCCTTTTGATTCCACAGTTTGGAAGCACTGGTTTTATCCTTTCAGTGAAAGGACATATCAGAGGGCATTGAGGACTAGGGTGCAAAAGAAAATATCTTCTGAAAAAAATGGAAAAGAGGCTTTCTGAGAAACTGCTTTGCAATGTATGCATCCATTTCACAGAGTCAACACTTTCTTTTGATTCAGCACTTTGGAAACACTGTTTTTATCCATTCTAGGAAAGGGCATTTGTGAGCTCATTGAGGCCAATGGTGAAACAGTGAAAATTCCAGGATAAAAACTACAAGGAAACTATCTGAGAAACTGTTTTGAGATGTGTGCATTCATCTCACGGAGTTACACCTTTCTTTTCATTCATCAGTTAAGTTTTAACAGATTTAAAATTTTAACAGAGTTAAAACTTTCTTTTGATTGAGCAGTATGGAAGCACTGTTTTTTTCAGTCTGTGAATGGACATTAGGGACAGCGAGTTTAACCTTCTTTTCATTCAGCAGTTTGGAAACACTGTTTTTGTAGAATCTGTGAAGCTATATTTGGGATTGCATTGAGGCCAATGAAGTAAATGAAAGTATCTTCAAATAAAAACTAGAAAGAACCTTTCTGAGAAATTGCTTTGTGATGTGTGCCTTCATCTCACAGAGATAAAACTTTCTTTTGATTCAGCAATATGGAAACAACTGTTTTTGTCCATTCTGCAAATGGACATTTGGGAGCTCATTGAGGTCAATGGTGAAAAAGCAAATATTCCAGGAAAAAGTCTAGAAGAAATCTACGTGAGAAACTGGTTTGTGATGTGTGCATTCATCTCACAGAGCTAAACCTTTCTTTTGATACAGCAGTTTGGAAACACCGTTTTTAGCCTTTGTGTGAATGGACATTTGGGAGCTCATTTGAGGCCAATGACAAAAAAGTGAATATCCCAGGAAAAAAACTAGAGTGAGGCTCTCTGAGAAACTGCTTTATGTTGTGTGCATTCATCTCTTAGCATTTGGAAACAATGTTTTTGTAGAATCTGTGAAGGGATTTTTGAGAGTGCATTGAGGACTATGGTGAAAAAGAAAATATCTTCAGGTAAAAACTAGAAAGAAGGTTTCTGAGAAAGTGCTTTGTGATGCCGACTTTTGCCTCACGGAGTTAAACCTTACTTTTAATCCAGCAGTTTGGAAACACTTTTTTTGACCACTATGTGACTGCATAATTGGGAGCTCATTGGGGCCAATGGCAAAAAACTGAATATCCCAAGATAAAAAATAGAAGGAAGCAATCTAAGAATCCACTTTGTGTTTTTTGTATTCATCTCACAGAGTAAAACCTTTCTTTTCATTCAGCAGTTTGGAAACACTGTTTTTGCAGAATCTTTGAATGGATATTTGGATCACATTGGGGCCTATGGTGACAAAAAAAATTCAGATTAGAAATAGAAAGAATCTTTCTAAGAAACTGCTTTGTGATGTGTGCATTCATAACACAGAGCTAAATCTTTCTTTTGATTCAGCAGTTTGGAAACACTGTTATTGTTCATTCTGCAAATGGACATTTGGGAGATCATTGAGACCAACTGCAAAAAAGTGAATATCCCAAGATAAAAATTAAGGGGAAGCTATCTGAGAAACTGCTTTGTGATGTGTGCATTCATCTCACAGATTTAAACCTGTCTTTTCATTCAGCAGTTTTGAAACCCTGTTTTTGTAGAATCTGCAAAGGGATATTTGGGAGTGCATTGAGGCCAATGGTGAAAGAGAAAATACCTTCAGATAAAAAGTACAAAAAAATTTTCTGAGAAACTGCTTTGTGATGTGTGCATTCACTCACAGAGTTAAAATTTTCTTTTCATTCACCAGATTGAAAAAACTGTTTTTGTAGAATCTATGAAGGGATATTTGGTAGTGCATTTAGGCCTCCGGTGAAAAAGAAAATATCTTATGATAAAAGCTAGAAAGAAGTTATGTAAGGAACCACTTTGTGATGTGTACATTTTTCTCAGACAGTTAAACATTTATTTTGATTCAGTAGTTTGGAAAAACAGTATTTGTCCATTCTGCAAATGGACTTCTGGGACCTCATTGAGGCCAATTGCAAAAAAGCTAATATAGGAGGATAGAAACTAGAAGGATGCTATCTGAGAGACTGCTTTCTACTGTGTGCATTCATACCTTAGAGGTAAACCTTTCTTTTCTTTAGGAGTTTGGAAACACTTTTATTGTAGAATCTCTGAAGGGGTATTTGGGGTGCATAGAGACCTATGGTGAAAAAGAAAATATCTTCAGATAAAAAGTAGAAAGAAGCTTTCAGAGAAACTGCTTTGTTATTTACACATTCATCTCACAGAGTTAACACCTTATTTTGATTCAGCTGTTTTGAAACACTGTTTTTGTCCATTATGCAAATGGACATTTGGGAGGAAATTGTGGCCAATTGTGAAAAAAGGAATATCCCAGGGAAAAACTACAAGGAATCTATTTGAGAAACTGCTTTGTGATGTGTACCTTCACCTCACACAGTTAAATCTTTCTTTTGATTCAGCAGTTTGGAAATGCTGTTTTTGTCCATTCTGTGAAAGGATATTGGGAGCTCATTGAGGTCTATGGTGAAAAAGAAAATACCTTCAGAGGAAAACAGGAAAGAAGCATTCCTGGAAATTGCTTCGTGTTTTGTCCATTCATCTCACAGAGTTAAACCATTCTTTTGATTCAGCAGTTTGGAAACACTGTTTTTTCCATTCTGCGAATGGACATTTGGGAGCTCATTGAAGCCAGTGGCCAAAAATCGAATGTCCCAGTATAAAAACTAAGAGGAAGCTATATGAGAAACCACTTTGTGATGTGTGCTTTCTTCTCACAGAGTTAAACCTTTCTTTTCATTCAGCAGTTTGAAAACATAGTTTTCGTCCATTCTGAGAATGGATATTTGGGAGCTCATTGAGGCTAATGGTGAAAAACCCAATATCCCAGGATAAAAATGAAGGAAGCCATCTGAGAAACCAATTTGTGATGTATCTATTCACCTTGAGGAGTTGATTCATTCTTTTTCATTCAGGAGTTTGGAAACACTGTTTTTGTAGAATCTGCAAATGGACATTAAGGGGTTCTTTGAGGCAAATGGAGAAAAAGTGATTATCCCCCAATAAAAACTAGAAGGAATCTATCTGAGAAACCACTTTGTGATGTGTGAATTCATCTCACAGGTTAATCCTTTCTTTTCATTCAGCAGTTTGGAAACACTGTTTCTGTAGAATCTGTGAAGGGATAGTTGGGAGCACGTTGAGGCCTATTGTGATGAAAACATTTTCAGATAAAAACTAAAAAGAAGCTTTCTGAGAAACTGCTTCACAATATTTGCATTCATCTCAAAGAGTTATACTTTTTTTGATTCAGCATTTTGGAAACTCTATTTTTCTCCATTGTGCTAATGGACATTTTGGAGCTCCTTTATGCCAATGGCAAAAAAGCGAATATTCCTTGGTAAAAACTAGATGGAATGTATGTGAGAAACCACTTTGTGGTGTGGACTTTCATCTCACAGAGTTAAACCTTCTTTACATTCAGTATTTTGGAAACACTGTTTTTGTCCTTTCTGTGAATGGACTTTTGGGGGCTCATTGAGGCTAATGGTGAAAAATCCAAAGTCCCATTATAAAACTAAGAGGAAGCTATCTGAGAAACTGCTTTGTGATGTGTGCATTCATCTCATAGTGTTAAACCTTTCCTTTCATTCAGCAGTATGGAAACACTTTTTTTGGCCTTTGTGAGAATGGACATTTGAAAGCTCATTGAAGACAATGGTGAAAAAGTGAATATCCCAGGATAAAAACAGAAGGAAGATATCTGAGAAACCGGTTTGTGATGTGTGCATTCATCTCTCAGAGTTAAAACTTTCTTTTGATACAGCAGTTTGGAAACACTGTTCTTCTCCTTTGTGTGAATGGACATTTGGGAGCTCACTGACACAAATGATGAAAAAGTGAATATCCCAGGAAAAAACTAGAATAAAGCTATCTGAGAAACCACTTTGTGATGTGTACATTCATCTCTCAGAATTAAGACTTTCTTTACATTCAGCAGTCTGGAAACACTGTTTTTGTTCATTCTACAAATGGACATTTGGGAGCTCATTGATGCCAATGGCGAAAAAGCAAATATCCCAATATAAAAAAAGAAGGATGCTATCTGAGACACCGCTTTGTGATGTGTGCATTCTTCTTGAAGAGATAACCTTTCTTTTCATTCAAAAGTTTGGAAACACTGTTTCTGTATAATCTGCGAAGGGATTTTTGGGAGCTCATTGAGGCCTATGGTGAAAAGGAAAATATTTTCAGATTAAAAACGAGTAAGAAACATTCTGAGAAACCGTTTTGTGACATGTTCACCCATCTCACAGAGGTACACCTTTCTTTTAATTCATCAGTTTGGAAGCACTCTTTTTGTCCACTCTGCAAGTGGACATTTCAGATCTCATTGTGGCCAATGGCAAAAAAGTGAATATCCCACGATAAAAACTAGAAGGATGCTATCTGAGAAACTTGTTTGTGAGGTCTGCATTCATCTCACAGAGTTAAACCATTCTTTTGATACAGTAGTTTGTAAACAAAGTTTTTGTAGAATCTGCAAAGGGATATTTGGGAATGAATTGAGGCCAATGGTGAAAAATTGAAAAACTCAGGATAAAAATTAAGAGGAAGCTATCTGAAAAACCACTTTGTGATGTATGCATTCATCTCACATAATTAAAACATTATGTTTATTCAGCAATTTGGAAACACTGTTTTTGAAGGATCTGCGAAGTGATATTTGGGAGCTCATTGAGGCCAATGGCAAAAAAAGAGAATATCCCACGATAAAATCCAGAAGGAAGCTATCTGAGAAAATGCTTTGTGATGTGTGCATTCAGCTCAAGGAGTTAAATTTTTCTTTTAATTCAACAGTTTTGAAACATTGTTTTTGTAGAATCTGCAAATTGACATTTGGGAACTCATTCAGGCCTATGGTGAAAAAGAAATTATCTTCAGGCAAAAACTGGAAAGAAGCTTTCTGAGTAACTGCTTTGTGGTGTGTGCATTAATCTCACAGAATTAAACCTTTCTGTGGATTCATCAGTTTGGAAACACTGTTTTTGTCCACTTTGCTAATGGGCATTTGGAGGCTAATTAGGCCAAAGGGGAAAACGACTATCCAACAATAAAAACTAGAAGGAAACTATCTGAGAAACTGGCTTGCGATGTCTGCATTCATCTTGCAGATTTAAACATTTCATCTCCTTCACCATTTTGGAAAAAGTGTTTTTGTAGTATCTGCAAAGAGATATTTTGGACGCATTGGGGTCTATGGTTAAAAATAAAATAACTTCAGATAAAAACTAGTTTTGTCCATCACAAAACTGTTTTGTGATGTGCACATTCATCTCACAGAGTTAAACCTTCTTTTCATTCAACAGTTTGGAAACACTGTTTTTCTTCATTCTGCAAATGGATATTTTCAAGCTCATTAAGGACAAAGGGAAGTGGTGACAGACAGCACCTGGAAAATTGGGTAACTCCAACCCTAATACTGTGCTTTTCCAATGGTCTTAGCAAATGGCACACCAGGAGGTTATATCCCACACATGGCTGAGAGGGTCCCAAGCCCACAGAGTCTTGCTTATTGTTAGCACATCAGTCTGAGTTAAAACTGCAAGATGGCAGCAAGGATGGGAGTGGGGTGCCTGCAGTTGTTAAGGCTTGAGTATGCAAACAAAGCATCTGAGAAGCTCGATCTCGGTGGAGCCCACCACAGCTCAAGGAGGCCTGCCTGTCCTTAGAGATGCCATCTCTGGGGGCAGGGCATAGCCAAACAAAAGAAAGCAGAAACTTCTGCAGACTTAAAAGTCCCTGTCTGACAGCTTTGAAGAGAGCTGTGGTTCTCCCAGCATGGCATTTGAGATCTGAGAATTGACACACTGCCTCCTCAAGTGGGTCCCTGACCCCCGAGTAGACTGAGAGGCACCCTCCAGTAGAGGCAGACTGGCTGCTCACATGGCCGGGTACTCCTCTGAGATGAAGCTTCCAGAGGAATGATCAGGCAGCAAAATGTGCTGTTCAGCAATAATCGCAGTTCTGCAGCCTCTGCTGCTGATACCCAGGCAAACAGGTCTGGAATGGACCTCCAGCAAAATTCAGCAGACCTGCAGCTGAGGTTCCTGATGGTTAGAAGGAAAACTAACAAAAAGAAAGCACATCCACACCAAAACCCAACTGTACGTCACTATCATCAAAGACCAAAGGTAGATAAAACCCCAAAGATGGGGAAAAAAACAGCAGAAAAGCTGAAAATTCTAAACATCAGAGTGCCTCTCCCCTTGCAAAGGAACGCAGCTCCTCGCCAGCAAGAGAACAAGCTGGACAGAGAATGACTTTGAGAAGTTGAGAGAAGAAAGCTTCAGATGATCAAACTTCTGTGATCGAAAGGAGAAAGTTTGAACTCATTGGAAAGAAGCTAAAAACCTTGAAAAAAATAAGACCAAGAGCTAACTAGAATAACCAGTGTAGAAAAGTCCTTAAATGACCTGATGGAGCTGAAAACCATGGCACAAGAACTACGTGATGAATGCACAAGCTTCAGTAGCTGATTTGATCAACTGGAAGAAAGGGTAACAGTGATGGAAGATCAAATGAATCAAATGAAGCGAGAAGAGAATTTTAGAGAAAAAAGGGTAAAAAGAAACGAAAGAAGCCTCCAAGAAATATGGGATTATGTGAAAAGACCAAATCTACTTGTGATTGCTGTACCTGAAAGTGACGGGGAGAATAGAAACAAGTTGGAAAACACTCTGCAGGATATTATCCAGGAGAACTTCCCCAACCTAGCAAGGCAGGCCAACATTCAAAGTCAGAAAATACAGAGAAGTCCACAAAGATACTCCTCAAGAAGAGCAACTCCAAGGCACGTAATTGTCAGATTCACCAAAGTTGAAATGAAGGAAAAAATGTTAAGGACAGCCAGAGAGAAAGGTCTGGTTACCCACAAAGGGAAGCCCATCAGACTAACAGCTGATCTCTCAGCAGAAACTCTACAAACCAGAAGAGAAGGGGGCCCAATATTCAACATTCTTAAAGAAAAGAATTTTCAACCCAGAATTTCATATCCAGCCAAACTAAGCTTCATAAGTGAAGGAGAAATAAAGTCCTTTACAGACAAGCAAATGCTGAGAGATTTTGTCACCACGAGGTCTGCCCTACAAGAGCTCCTGAAGGAAGCACTAAACATGGAAAGGAGCAACCGGTACCAGCCACTGCAAAAACATGCCAAATTGTAAAGGCCATCGATGATAGAAAGAAACTGCATCAACTAACGAGCAAAATAACTACCTAACATCATAATGACAGGATCAAATTCACACATAACAATATTAACTTTAAATGTAAATGGGCTAAGTGCTCCAATTAAAAGACACAGATTGACAAATTGGATAAAGAATCAAGTCTCATCATTGTCCTGTATTCATGAGACCAATCTCACGTGCAGAGACACATATAGGCTCAAAATAAAGGGATGGAGGAAGATCTACCAAGCAAATGGAAAACAATAAAAGGCAGGGGTTGCAATCCTAGTCTCTGATAAAACAGACTTTAAACCAACAAAGATCAAAAGAGACAAAGAAGGCCATTACATAATGGTAAAGGGATCAATTCAACAAGAAGAGCTAACTATCCTAAATATATATGCACCCAATACAGGAGCACCCAGATTCATTAAACAAGTCCTTAGTGACCTACAGAGAGACTTAGACTCCCACACAATAACAATGGGAGACTTTAACATCCCACTGTCAACATTAGACAGATCAATGAGACAGAAAGTTAGCAAGAATATCCAGGAATTGAGCTCAGCTCTGCACAAAGAGGACCTAATAGACATCTACAGAACTCTCCACCCCAAATCAACAGAATATACATTTTTTTCAGTACCACACCACACTTATTCCAAAATTGACCATATAGTTGGACATAAAGCACTCCTCAGCAAATGTAAAAGAACAGAGATGATAACAAACTATCTCTCAGACCACAGTGCAATCAAACTAGAATTCAGGATTAAGAAACTCACTTGAAACTGCTCAACTACATGGAAATTGAACAACCTGCTCCTGAATGACTAATGGGTACATAATGAAATAAAGGCAGAAATAAATATGTTCTTTGAAACCAACGAGAACAAAGACACAACATACCAGAATCTCTGGGACACATTTAAAGCAGTGTGTAGAGGGAAATTTATAGCACTAAATGCCCACAAGAGAAAGCAGGAAAGATCTAAAATTGACACCTGGACAGCGCAAATAAAAGAACTAGAGAAGCAAGAGCAAACACATTCAAAAGCTAGCAGAAGGCAAGAAATAACTAAGATCAGAGTAGAACTGAAGGAAATAGGACACAAAAAACCCTTCAAAAAATCAATTAATCCAGGAGCTGGTTTTTTGAAAAGAGCAACAAAATTGATAGACCACTAGCAAGACTAATAAAGAGAGAGGAATCAAATAGATGCAATAAAAAATGATAAGGGGGATATCACCACCAATCCCACATAAATATAAACTACCATTAGAGAATACTATAAACACCTCTATGCAAATAAACTAGAAAATGTAGACGAAATGGATAATTTCCTCAACACATACACCCTCCCAATACTAAACGAGGAAGAAGTTGAATCTCTGAATAGACCAATAACAGGCTCTGAATTTGAGGCAATAATTAATAGCTTATGAACCAAAAAATGTCCAGGACCAGATGGATTCACTGCCGAATTCTACCAGAGGTACAAGGAGGAGCTGGTACCAATCCTTCTGAAACTATTCCAATCAACAGGAAAAGAGGGAATCCTCCCTAACTCATTTTATAAGGCCAACATCATCCTGATACCAAAGCCTGGCAGAGACACAACAATAAAAGAGAATTTTAGACCAATATCCTTGATGAACATTGATGCTAAAATACTTAATAAAATACTGGCAAACGGAATCCAGCAACAGATCAAAAAGCGTATCCACCATGATCGAGTGGGCTTCATCCCTGGGATGCAAGGCTGGTTCAGCATACATAAATCAATAAATGTAATCCAGCATATAAACAGAAACAAAGACAAAAACACGTGATTATCTCAATAGATGCAGAAAAGGTCTTTGACAAAATTCAACAATCCTTCATGCTAAAATCTCTCAATAAATTAGGTATTGATGTGACATATCTAAAAATAATAAGAGTTCTCTATGACAAACCCACAGCAAATATCATATCGAATGGGCAAAAGCTGGAAGCATTCCCTTTGAAAACTGGCACAAGACAGGGATGCCCTCTCTCACCACTCCTATTCAACATAGTGTTGGAGGTTCTAGCCAGGACAATCAGGCAGGAGAAGGAAATAAAGGGTATTCAGTTAGGAAGACAGGAAGTCAAATGGTCCCTGTTTGCAGATGACATGACTGTATATCTAGAAAATGCCATTGTCTCAGCTCAAAATCTCCTCAAGCTGACAAGCAACTTCAGCAAAGTCTCAGGATACAAAATCAATGTGCAAAAATCACAAGCATTCTTACACACCAATAACAGAAAAACAGAGAGCCAAATCATGAGTGAACTCCCATTCACAATTGCTTCAAAGAGAATAAAATACCTAGGAATCCAACTTACAAGGGATTGAAGGACCTCTTCAAGGAGAACTACAAACAGCTGCTCAATAAAATAAAAGAAGATACAAACAAATGGAAGAACATTCCATGCTCATGGGCAGGTAGAATCAATATCGTGAAAATGGCCATACTGCCCAAGGTAATTTATAGATTCAATGCCATCCCCATCAAGCTACCAATGACTTTCTTCACAGAATTGGAAAAAACTACTTTAAATTTCATATGGAACCAAAAAAGAGCCCACATTGCCAATTCAATGCTAAGCCAAAAGAACAAAGCTGGAGGCAACATGCTACTTGACTTCAAATTATACTACAAGGCTACAGTAACCAAAACAACATGGTACTGGCACCAAAACAGAGATATAGACCAATGGAACAGAACAGAGCCCTCAGAAATAATGCCTCATATCTACAACTATCTGATCTTTCACAAAACTGAGAAAAACAAGCAATGGGGAAAGGTGTCCCTATTAAATAAATGGTGCTGGGAAAACTGGCTAGCCATATGTAGAAAGCTGAAGCTGGATCCCTTCCTTACACCTTATACAAAAATTAATTCAAGATGGATTAAAGACTTAAGTAAAACCATGTTTTTGATTGAGCAGTGTGGAAACACTGTTTTTGTATAATCTGTGAAGGGATATTTGGGAGCTCATTGAAGCCTATGATAAAAAAGGGAAAATCTTCGATAAAAATTAGAAAGAAGCTTTCTGAGAAACTGCTTTTTCATGTGTGCCATCATCCAACAGCTGTAAACCTTTATTTTGGTTGAGAAGTTTGAAAACGCTGTTTTTGCGGAACCTGCACAGAGATATTAGGAAGAATATTGTGGCCTATACTAGAAATGGTAATATTTTCAGGTAAAAACTACAAAAAATATTTCTGAGACACCGCTTCGTGATGTGTAGATTCATCTCACAGAGTTAAACCTGTCTTTTGATTGAGCAGTTTTGAAACACTGTTTTTGTAGAATTGGCAAAGGGATGTTTCAGAGCACTTTGAGACCTAGGCTGAAAAAGGAAGTACATTCAGATAAAAACTACAAAGAAGGTTTCAGAGCAACTGCTTTGTGATGTGAGTATTCAATTCACAGAGGTAAACCTTTCTTTTGATTGAGCAGCTTGTAAACACTGTTTTTGTAGAATCTGGGAAAAGATATTTGGCAGCACTTTGAGGCCTATGATGAAAACGAAATATCTTCAGATAACAACTAGAATGAGTCTTTCTGAGAAACTGCTTTGTGATGTGTACGTTTTTCTCAAAGACGTAATCCATACTTTTGATTGAGCAGTTTGGAAACAATGTTTTGTAGAAACTGCAAAGGGATATTTGGGAGTGCATTCAGTCCTAGGCTGAAAAAGGAAATATCTGCAGATAAAAACTAGAAAGAAGCTTTCAGAGACACTTTTGTTTGATGTGTGCATGCATCACACCCAGTTAAACCTTCCTTTTGATTGAGTATTTTGGGAACACTGTTTTCGTAGAATCTGGGAAGGCATATTTGGAAGGATTTGGGGCCTATGGTGAAAAAGAAAATACCTTCAGATAAAAAAAACAGAAAGAACCATTCTGAGACACTGCTTTGTGATGTGTGCATTTATCTCACAGAGTTAAACCTTTCATTGGATTGAGCAGTTTGTAAACACTGTTTTTGTAGAATCTCTGAAGGGATAGTTGGGAGCTCGTTGAGGACTATGATGAAAAAGGAAATATCTTCAAATAAATACATAGAAATTTTCTGAGATACTGATTTGAGATGTGTGCATACAACACACCGAGTTAAATCCCTCTTTTCATTGAACAGTTTTGACACACATTTTTTGTAGATTCTGCAAAGGGATATTTTGGAACACTTTGAGGTGTATGGTGAAAAAGGAGATATCTTCAGCTAAAAAATAGAAAGAAAGGTTCTGAGACACAGCTTTGTGCTGTGTGCATTCATCTCACAGATGTAAACCTTTCTTTCGATTGAGCAGTTTGGAAACACTGTTTTTGTAGAATCAGAGAAGGGATAATTGGGAGATCATTAAGTCCTATGGTGAAAAAGGAAATATCCAGATAAAAACAAAAAATATTTCTGAGAAACTGCTCTGTGATGTGTGCATTCATGTCACAGAGTCAAAACTTTCTTTTCATTGAGCATTTTGTAAACACTGTTTTTGTAGAATCTGTGAAGGGAGATTTGGGAATGTAATTAGGCCTATGGTGAAAAATAAAATACCCTCATATAAAAACTAGATAGAAGATTTCTGAGAAACTGCTTTGTGATGTGTGAATTCATCTCACAGAATTAAAGCTTTTTTTGATTCAGCACTTTGGAAAAACTGTTTTGTTAGAAATTGTGAAGGGATATTTCAGAGTGCTTTGAGGCCAACAGAAAAAAAGGAAATATCTTCGGATCAAAACTAGAAAGAATATTTCTGAGAAACTGCTTTGTGATGTGTCCATTGGTCTCATAGAATTAAACCTTTCTTTTTAAAGAGCAGCTTGAAAACACTGGTTTTGTAGAATCTGCAAAGGGATATTTGGGAGCATATTTAGACCTTTGATGAAAAAGGTAATATCTTCAGGTAAAAACTAGAAAGAAGGCTTCTGAGACGCGGCTTTGTTGTGTGTGCACTCATTTCAAGATGTAAACTTTCCTTTTGATTGAGCAGTTTGGAATCTGTTTTTATAGAATCTGCAAAGGGATATTTTGGAGCACATTGACACCTATGGTGAAAAATCTTCGGATAAATACTAGAAATAAGTGTTCTGAGAAACTGTTTTGTGATGTGTGCATTAGTCTCTCAGAGTCAAAACTTTCATTTGACTGAGCAGTTTGGAAACACTATCTTTGTAGAGTCTGTGAAGGGATAGTAGGAAGCACATTGAGGCCAAGGTGAAAAACGAAATATCTTCAGAGAAAAACTAGAGAGAGGGTTTCAGAGAAACTACTTTGTGATGTCTGCATTCATCTCACAGCATTAAAACATTCTTTTGAATGAGCAGCTTGGAAACACTGTTTTTGTAGAATCTGCAAAGGGGAGTGATTTGAGGCCTATGTTGAAAAAAGAAATGTCTTCAGTTAAAAACAAGACAGAAGTTTTCTGAGAAACTGCTTTGGGAGGAGTGCATTCATCTCCTACAGTTAAGCCTTTCTTTTGATGAAGCAGTTTGGAAAAACTGTCTTTGTACCATCTGCAAAGGGATATTTTGCAGTGCTTTGAGGCCTATGTGGAAAAAGGAAATAGCTTCAGACAAAAATTAGAAAGATTCTGAGACATGGCTTTGTGATGTGTGCATTCAGCTCACAATTATAAACCTTTCTTGTAATTGAGCAGTTTAGAATCTCTGTTTTTGTAGAATCTGCAAAGGTATATTTGGGAGGGCATCAAGGCCTACAGTGGAAAAGGAAATACATTCAGATAAAAACTAAAAAGAAGCATTAGGAGAAACTGCTTTGTGATGTTTGCATTCATTTCACAGCGATAAAACTTTCTTTTGGTTTAGCAGTTTTGAAATAGTGTTTTTGTAGATTCTATGAAGGGATATGAGAGCACACTGAGGCCTGTGCTGAGAAAGGAAATATCTTCAGATAAAAATTAGAAAGAAGCTTTCTGCAAACTTCTCTGTGATGTGTGTCTTCCCCTCACAGATGTAAAACTTTCTTTGATTTAGGAGTTTGGAAACAGTGTTTTTGTAGATCTGTGAAGAGATATTAGGGAACGCATTGAGGCCTATGGTGAAAATGTTAATGTGTTCAGGTAAAAACTAGAAAGAACGTTTCTAAGACAATGCTTTGTTAAGTGTGCATTTATATCACAGAGTCAAACCTTTCTTTTGATTGAGAAGTTTGGAAACACTCCTTTTGAAGAATCTGTGAAGGAATATTTGGGAGCAAATGGAGGCCTATGCTGAAAAAGGAAATATCTACAGATAAAAACTAGAAAAAAGATTTCTGAGAAACTGCTTTGTGATGTGAGCATTCATCTCACAGAATTAAAGCTTTTACTTGATTGAGCAGATTGGAAACATTGTTTTTGTAGTATCTGCAAAGGGATATTTTTGAGCCCTTCAATGCCTATGGTGTTTAAATCTCACAGAGTTAAACATTTCTTTTGATTGAACAGTTTGGAAACACTGTTTTTGTAGAATCTGTGAAGGGATATTTGAGAGCTCATTGAGGCCTATGGAGAAAAAGGAAATACCTTCAAATAAAAACTACAAAAGTTTTTCTGAGATACTGCTTAGTGATGTGTACATACATCTCACAGAGGTAAACCTCTCTTTTGATTGAGCAGTTTGGAAACACTGTTTTTGTAGAATCTGCAAAGGGATATTTGGGAGCGCATTGAGGCCCACTCTGAAAAGGGAAATATCATCAAGTAAAAACTACAAAGAAAGTTTCTGAGAAACTGCTTTGTGATGTGTGCATTTATCTCACAGAGTTAAACCTTTCTTTTGATTGAGCAGACTGCAAACACTGTTTTTGTAGAATCTGCGAAGGAATATTTGGGAGTGCACTGAGAATTATGGTGAAAAAGGAAATATCTTCTGATAAAAACTAGAAAGAAGCTTTCTGAGAAACTGCTTAGTCATGAGTGCATTCATCTCACAAAGTTAAACCTTTCTTTTGATTGATCAGTTTGGAAAGACTGTTTTTGAGGAATTTGTGAAGGGATATTTGGGAGGACATTGAGGCCTATGCTGTTAAAGGAAATATCTTCAGATAAAAACTAGAAAGAAGCTTTCTGAGAAACTGCTTTGTGATGTGTACATTCATCTCACAGAGTTAAAACTTTCTGTTGAATGAGCAGTTTGGAAATACTGTTTTTGTATAATATGGGAAGTGATGATTGGTAGTGCAAAAAGGCCTATGGTGAAACAGGAAATATCTTCAAAAAAAAAAACTGGAAAGCAGCTTTCTGAGGCACTGATTTGTGATGTGGACATTCATTTCACAGTGTTAAATCTTTCCTTTGATGGTGCCATTTGGAAACAGCCTTTCAGCAGGATCTGTGAAGGGTCATTTGGGAGTGAATTGAGGCCAATGGAGAAAAAGGAAATAACTCCAAGTAAAAACTAGAAAGTTGCATTCTGAGAAACTATTTTGACATGCGTGCATTCATCTCACAGAGTTAAACCTTTCTTTGGTGAACCAGTTTGGAAACACCGTTTTGGTAGAATCTGCGAAGAGGTATTTGGGAGTGCACAGAGGCCTGGGGGAAATAGGAAATAACTTTGGATAAAAACTACAAAGAAGCCTTTTGAGAAACCACTTTGTGATGTGTGCATTCTTCTCACAGATTTAAATGTTTCTTTTGATTGATCAGTTTGGAAATATTGTTTTTGGAGAATGTGTGAAGGGATATTTAGAAGCACATTTAGGCCTATGGTGAAAAAGGAAATATATTCAGATATAAACTAGAAAGAAGTATTTTGAGAAACTTTTTTGTGATGTTTGCATTCATCTCACAGAGGTAAACCTATCTTTTGAATGATCAGTTTGGAAACAGTGTTTTTGTACAAACTGCGAATGGATATTTGGGAACTCACGAGGCCTATGGTGAAAAAGAAAATAACTTCTGATAAAAACTTAAAAGAAGCTTTCTGAGAAACCTCTTTTGGATGTGTGACTTCTTCTCACAGAGATAAATGTTTCTTTTCATTGAGCAGTTTGGAAACACTGGTTTTGTAGATTCTGCAAAGGTATATTTGGGAGTGCACCAAGGCCTATGTTGAAAAAGGAAATATCTTTGGATAAAATCCAGGAAAAAGCTTTTTGTGAAATTGCTTTGTGATGTGTGCATTCAACTCACAGAGTTAAGCCTGTTTTTTGGTTTAGCATTTTGGAAACACTGTTTTAGTAGAATCTGTAATGGGTATTTTGGAGTGCATTGAAGCCTGTAGTGATAAGCAAAATATCTTCAGATAAAAACTAGAAAAGAGATGTTTGAGAAACTGCTTTGTGATGTGTGCATTCACCTTACAGAGGTAAACCTTTCTTTTGACTGAGCAGATTGGAATCTCTGTTTTTGCAATATCTGAGAAGCGATAATAGATAGTGCGAAAAACGCTATGGTGAAAAAGGAAATATCATCAGATAAAAATTGGAAAGAAGCATTGTGAGAAACTGATTTCTGACGTGTGCAATAATCTCACAGTGTTAAGTCCTTCTTTTGATGTAACAGTTTGGAAACACTGTTATTTAGAATGTGTGAAGGGATATTTGGGAGCTCATTGAGGCCTATGGGGGAAAATTAAATATCTTCAGAGAAGAATTAGATAGAAGCATTCTCAGAAACTGCTTTGTGATGTGTGCATTCATCTCACAGAGGTAAACCTGTTTTTTGATTCAGCAGTTTGGAAACACTGTTTTTGTAGAATATGCGATGGGATATTTGGAAGCACATTGAAGCCTATTGTGATAAAGGGAATACCTTTGCATAAAAACTACAAAGAAGCTTTTTGAGAGACTGCTTTCTGATGTGTGCATTCATTTCCCAGAGTTAAGCCTTTCTGTTGACTGAGAAGTTTTGGAAACGCTGTTTTTGTGAAATCTGCAATATTAGATAGCACAATAAATCCTATGGTGAAAAAGAAAATATCTTCAGATAAAAACTGGAGAAAAGCATTATGAGGAACTGCTCTCTGATGTGTGCATTCATCTCACCGAGTTAATACCTTCTTTTGATGGAATAGTTTCAAAACACTGTCTTTGTAGAATCTCCAAAGGGATATTAGGGAGTGTATTGAGGCCTATGCTTTAAAAGGAAATATCCTGAGAAGAACTAGACAGAAACTTTCTGGGAAAGTGCTTTGTGATGGGTGCATTCATCTCACAGAGTTAAACCTTTCTTTTGATTGAGCAGTTTGGAAACACTGTTTTTGTAGAATCTGAGAAGGGACATTTAGGAGCGCATTGAATCCTGACATGGAAAAGGAAATATCTTCAGAGAATAACTAGACAGAAGCTTTCTGAGAAACTGCTTTGTGATATGTGCTTTCACCTAACAGAGTTAAACCTTTCTATTGATTGAGCAGTTTGGAAACACAGTGTTTTTAAAAACTGCAAAGGTATATTTGAGAGAGCACTGTTGCCTATTGTGAAAAAGGAAACATCTTTGGCTAAAAACAGAATGCAACTTTTTGAGAAACTACTTGGTGAAGTGTGCATTTAACTCACAGTGTTAAACCTCTTTTTTTAATTGAGCACTTTGTAAACACTGTTTTCGTAGAATCTGCAAAGGGATATTTGGGAGTGCATTGAAGCCTATTGTGATAAAGAAAATATCTTCAGACACAAACTAGACAGAAGCTTTTTGAGAAACTGCCTTGTAATGTGTGCATTCATCTCACAAAATTATACCTTTCTTATGAGTGAGTAGTTTGGAAACGATGTTTTTGCTAAATCTGCAAAGTGACATTTGGTTGCACAAAAAAGCCAATGGTGAAAAAGGAAATATCTTCACATAAAAACTGGACAGAAGCATTATGAGAAATGGCTCTCAAATATATGCGTTCATCTCACAGAGTTAAATCATTCTTTTGATAAAATAGTTTGGAAACACTGTTTTTGTAGAAACTGCAAAGGGATATTTGGGCGTGCATTGAATCCTGTGGTGGAAAAGGAAATATCTTCAGAGAAAAACTAGAAAGAAGCTTTCTGAGAAACTGCTTTGGGATAAGTATATTCATCTCACAGAGTTACATCTTTTTTGTGTTTGAGGAGTTTGGAAACACTGTTTTTGTAGAGTCTGTGAAGGGATATTTGGGAGCTCATTGAAGCCTATGGTGAAAAAGGAAATAACTTCGGATAAAAACAGCAAAGAAGTGTTATGAGAAACTGCTTTCTGATATGGGCATTCATCTCACTGAGTTAAGTCCTTCTTTTGATGGAACAGTTTGGAAACACAGTTTTTGTAGAATCTGCAATGGGATATTTGGGCACGCACTGAGGTCTATCTTGGAAATGGAAATATCTTCAGAGAAGAACTAGACAGAAGCTTCCTGAGAAACCGCTTTGTGATGCGTACATTCGTGTGACAGAGTTAAAGCTTTCTTTTGATTGATCAGTTTGGAAATACGGTTTTTGAAGGACCTGCAAGGGATATTTTGGAGGACACGAGGTCTCTTGTGAAAAGGGAAATAACTTCAGATAAAAACCACAAAGAAGCTTTCTGAGAAACCATTTTGTTATGTGTGCATTCCTCTCACAGAGTTAAACGTTTCTTTTGATTGAACGGTTTGGAAACAGTTTGGAAGCAGTTTTTGTAGTGTTTTTTTGAAGCACTGTTTTTGATGGAACAGTTTGGAAACACTATTTTTGTAGAATCTGCAAAGGGATATTAGCAAGCACACTAAGCCTATGGGGAAAAAGGAAACATCTTCAGATAAAAACTAGAAAGAAACTTTTCCAAATACTGCTTTGTGATGTGTGCATTCATCTCACAGAGTTAAATTTTTCTTCTGACTGAGCAGTTTGGAAACACTGTTTTTGTATAATCTGCAAAGCGATGTTCTGTAGTGCAAAAAGGCCTATGATGAACAAGGAAATATCTTCAGATAAAAACTGGAATGAAACATTATGAGAAACTGCTTTCTGATGTGTACATTCATCTCATTGAGTTAAATCCTTCTTTAGATGAAACAGTTTGGAAACACTGTTTTTATAGAATTTGTATAGGGATATTTCTGAGGGCATTGAAGTTTATGGTGGAAAAGGAAATATCTTCAGAGAAAAACTTGACAGAAGCTATGTGAGAAACTGCTTTGTGATGCATGCATTCATCACCCAGAGTTAAAACTTTTTTTTGATTGAAGCGTTTGGAATCACTGTTTCTGTAGAATCTGCAAAGGTATATTTGGGAGCACACAGAGACCTATGGTTTAAAAGGAAATATGTTCAGTTAAAAAGTAGAGAGAAGGTTTTTGAGAAACTGCTTCCTGATGTGTGCGTTCATCTCACAGAGTTGAGTCCTTCTTTTGATTGAGCAGTTGGAAACCCTGATTTTGTAGAATCTGCAGATGTGTATTTGGGAGCTCACTGAGGCCTATGAAGAAAAAGAAAATATCTTCAGATAAAAACTAGAAAGAAACATTTGTGAAACTGCTTTGTGATATGTGCATTCAACTGACAGTGTTAAACCTGTTTTTGATTGAGCAGTTTAGAAACAGTACTTTTGTAGAATCTCTGATGGGATATTTGGGAGCCCATTGAAGCCTGTGGTGAAAAAGGAAATATCTTTGGATAAAAACTAGAAAGAAGATATTGAGGAATTGCTTTGTGATGTGTGCATTCATTTCACAGAGTTAAACCTTTGATTTGAATGAGCAGTTTGGAAACACTGTTTCTGTGAAATATACAAAGCAATACTAGGTTGCACAAAAAACCTATTGTGAACAAGGAAATATCTTCAGATAAATACTGGAAGGAAGCTTTATGAGAAGCTGCTTTCTGATGTATGCGTTCATCTCATTGAGTGAAGTCCTTCTTTTGATGGAGCTGTTTCAAAACACTGTTTTTGTATAATCTGAGAAGGGATATTAGGGAGCATATTGAGGCCAGGAAACATCTTCGTAGGAGAACAAGGTGAAACCTTTATGAGAAACTGTGTTGTGATGTTTGCATTCATCTCAAAGAATTAACCCTTTCTATTGATTGAGCAGTTTGGAAACACTCTTGTTGTAAAATCTGCAAAGCGATGTTAGGTAGCACAAAAGAGGCCTATGGTGAACAAGGAAATGTCTTCATATAAAAACTGGAAAAACCTTTATGAGAAACTGCTTTCTGATGTGTGCATTTATCTCACAGCATTAAATCCTTCTTTTGATGGAACAGTTCAGAAACAATGATTTTACAGATTCTGCGGAGGGATATTTGGGATCACCTTCAGGCCTAATGTGACAAAGGAAATATCTTCAGAGGGGAACGAGACAGAAGCTATCTGAGAAAGTGTCTTGTGATGTGTGCATTCATATCACAGAGCTAAACCTTTCTTTTGGTTGATCAGTTAGGAAATACTGTTATTTTAGAATCTGTGAGGGATAATTTGTAGGGCATGAGTCCTATGGTGAAAAAGGAAATAACTTCAGATAAAAATAGAAAGAATCTTTCTGATAAACAACTTTGTGATGTGTGCATTCTTCTCACAGAGTTAAATGTTTCTTTTGATTGAGCAGTTTGGAAACACTGTTTTTGTACAATCTGCAAAGGGATATTTGTGAGTACACTGATGCCTATGGTGAAAAAGGAAATATCTTCTGATAAAAACTAGAAAATAGCTTTTAGATAAACAGCTTTGTGATGTGTGCATTCATCTCAGCGAGTTAAACTTTTCTGTTGACTGAGCAGTTTGGAAACACTGTTTTTGTATATTCTGCAAAGTGATGTTAGGTAGTACAAAAAGCCTATGGTGGAAAACAAATATCTTCAGATAAAAACTGGAAAGAAGTGTTACGAGAAACTTCTTTCTGATGTGTGCATTCATCCAGACGTAAATCCTTCTTTTGATTTAACAGCTCAGAAACACTTTTTTTACTGAATCTGGGAAGGGATATTTGGGAGCACATCGAGGCCTACAGTGAAAAGGAAGTATCTTCAGAGAAGAACTAGTCAGAAGCTATCTGAGAAAATGCTTTGGGATGTGTGCACTCATCGCACAGAGTTAAACCTTTCTTTTGATTCAGCAATTTGGAAACACTGTTTTTGTAGAATCTGCATAGGTATACTTGGGAGTGCAATGAGGCCTATGGTGAAAAAGGAAATATATTCAGATAAAAAAAGAAATAAGTTTTTTGAGAAACTGCTGTGTGATGTGTGAGTACAACTCACAGACTTAAACCTGTTTTTTGATAGAGCAGTTTGGAAAAACTATTTTTGTATAGTCTGCGAAGCAATGTTAGGTAGCACAAAAAGGAGTATGGTGAACAAGGAAATATCTTCAGATGAAAAGAGAAAAGAAGCATTCTGAGAAACTGCTTTCTCATGAGTGCATTAATCTCACAGATTTAATTCCTTCTTTTGATGGAACAGTTCAGAAACACTGTTGTTATGGAATCTGCGAAGGGATGTTTGGGAGCCCATTGAGGCCTATTGTGGAAAAGGAAATATCTTCAGAGAAGAACTAGATAGAAGCTATTTGGGAAACTGCTTTGATGTGTGCACCCATTTCACAGAGTTAAATTTTTCCATTGATTGAGCAGTTTGGAAACACTGTTTTTGTAGAGTCTGCAAAAGTATATTTTACAGCGCACTGAGTCCTATGGTGAAAAAGGAAATATCTTCTTGTAGAAACAAGAAAAACGCTTTTTGAGACATTGCTTTGTGAGGTGTGCATCCAGCTCACAGAGTTAAACCTATGCTTTGATTGAGGAGTTTGGAAACACTTTTTTTGTAGAATTGGTGATGGGATATTTGGGAATGTGTTTAAGCTATGGTGATAAAGGAAATAACTTCAGATAAAAACTAGAAAGAAGCTTTTTCAGAAACTGCTTTGTGATGTGTGCATTCATCTCACAGAGTTAAACATTGCTTTTGATTGAGCAGTTTGGAAATACTTTTTTTTTACAGGATCTGTGAAGGATACTGTGGAGCCCATTGAGGCCTATTGTGAAAAGGGAAATATCTTTGGATAAAAAGTTAAAAGAAACTTTTTGAAAAAGTGCTTTGTAATGTATGAACTCATCTCACAGAGCTAAACTTTTCTTTTCACTGAACACTTTGGAAAAAACTCTTTTTGTGTAATCTGTGAAGCAATGCTACGTAGCGCAAAAATGCCTAGGGTGAACAAGGAAATGTCTTCAGATAAAACTGGAAAGAAGCGTTATGAGAAACTGTTTTCTAATTTGTGCATTCATCCCACAGATTTAAGTCCTTCTTTTGATGGAACAGTTCAGAAGCACTGTTTTTATAGAATCTGCAAAGGGATAATTGGGAGCACATTGAGGCCTATGGTGGAAAAGGAAATATCTTCACAGAAGAACTAGACAGAAGCTATTTGATAAACTGCCTTGTGATGAGTGCATTCATGTCAAAGAGGTAAACCATTCTTTTGATTGATCAGTTTGGAAACACTGTGTTTGTAGAATCTGCAAAGGGATATTCTGGAGGGCAGTGAGGCCTATGTTGAAAAAGATAATATCTTTGGATTAAAACTTGAAAGAAGCTTTTTGAATAACTGCTTTGTGATGTGTGCATTCAACAAACAGATAAACCTGGTTTTTGTTTGAGTAATTTGGAAACACTGTTTTTGTATATCCTGTGATGGGATATTTGGGAGTGCATTAAAGCCTATGGTGATTAAGAAAATAACTTCAGATAAAAACTAGAAAGAAGCTTTTTGAGAAAATGCTTTGTGATGTGTGCATTCACCTCACAGAATGAAATCTTTCTTTTGACTGAGTAGCTTGGAAGCCCTGTTTTTGCAAAACGTGTGAAGCGATATTATGTAGTGCAGAAAAGCCTATGATGGAAAAGGAACTATCTTCAGATAAAAACTGGAAAGAAGCATTATGAGAAACTGCTTTCTGATGTGTACATTCATCTCACAGAGTTAAGTTCTTCTTTTGATGGAAAAATTTGGAAACACTGTTTTTGAAGACTCTGCACAGGGATATTTGCAAGCACATTGAGGCCTATGGTGTAAAAGGAAATATCATCAGAGAAGAACTAGACAGAATCTTTCTGAGAAACTGCTTTGTGATGTGTGCGTTCATCTCACAGAGTTAAATCTTTCTTTTGACTGAGCAGTTTGGAAACACTGTTTTTGGAAAATCTGTGAAGTGATTTTTGCTAGTGCAAAACAGCCTGTGGTGAACAAGGAAATATCTTCAGATAAAAACCAGAAAGAATGTATTGAGAAACTGCTTTCTGATGTGTGCATTCATCTCACATAGTTAAATGCTTCTTTTCAAGGAACTGTTCACGAACACCTTTTATAGAAACTGCAAAGGGATATTTGGGAGCACATTGAGGCCTAGGGTGGAAAAAGAAATATCTTCAGAGAAGAACTACTCAGAAGCTATCTGAGAATCTGCTCTGGGAGGTGTGCATTCATCTCATAGAGTTAAAACTTTCATTTCATTCAGAAGTTTGGAAACACTGTTTTTGTAGAATCTGCAAATGTATATTTGGGAGTGCACTGAGGCATATGGTGAAAAAGGAAATATATTCCATGAAAAACTAGAAAGGAGGTTTTTGAGAAAATTCTTTGTGACGAGTGCATTCAACTCACAGAGTTAAATTTCTTTTTTGATTGAGCAATTTGCAAACTATTTTTGTAGAATCTGTGATGAGATACTTTGGAGCCCATTGAAACCTACGTTGTTAAAGAAAATATCATTCTATACAAAACGGAAAGAAGCGTTTTGAGAAACTGCTTTGTGATGTGTGCATTCATCTCACAGAGTTAAACCTTTCTTTTTATGTGGCAGCTTGTAAACACTGTTTTTGCAATATCTGTGAAGCAATATTAGGTAACACAAGAAAGCCTATGGTGAACAAAGAAATATCTTCAGATAAAAAAATGGAAAGAAGCATTATGAGAAACTGATTTCTGATGTGTACATTCATCTCACACACTTAAATCCTTCTGTTGATGGAACAGTTCAGAAAAACTGTTTTTATAGAAACTGTGAAGGGATATTTCAAAGTGTATTTAAGCATACGATGGAAAAGGAAATATATTAAGAGAAAGAACTAGACAGAAGCATTCTGAGATACTGCTTTGTTTTGTGTGCATTCATCTCAGAGAGTTAAACCTTTCTTTTGATTGAGCAGTTTGGAAACACCATTTTTGTAGGTTCTGCAAGGGATAATTGCGATCTCATTTAAGCCTATGCTGAAAAAGGAAATATCTTCGGATTAAAAACTAGAAAGAATATTTTTGAGAAACTGCTTTGTGATGTGTGCATTCATCTCAAGGAGTTAAGCCTCTCTTTTGATTGATCAGTTTGAAAACACTGTTTATGTAGAATGTACCAAGGGATATTTGGGAGCCCCTGAGGCCTATGGGAAAGAAGGAAATAACTTCAGATAAAAACTAGAAAGAAGCTTTCTGAGAAACCGCTTTATGATAAGTGCATTCTTCTCACATAGTTCAACGTTTCTTCTGATTGAGCAGTTTGGAAGCACTGTTTTTTTAGAATCTGCAAAGGGATATTTGGGCTCACATTGAAACCTATGGTGATATAGGAAATATTTTCAGAGAAAAACTAGAAAGAAGCTTTTTGATAATCTGGTTTGTGATGTGTGCATTCATCTCACAGAGTTAAACTGAGGAGTTTGGAAACATTGTTTTTCCAAAATCTGTGAAGTGATATTTTTAGTGAAAAAGCCTATAGTGAATAAGGAAATGTCTTCAGATAAAAACTAGAAAGAAGCATTACGAGAAACTGCTTTCTGATGTCTGCATTCTCCTAACCGAGTTAAGTCTTTCTTTTGATCGAAAAGTTTGTAAACACTGTGTTTGTCAAATCTGCGAAGGGGTATTTTGGAGCTCAATGAAGCCTATGGTTAAAAAGGAATTATCTTCAGAAAAATACTCAAAAGAAACATTTTGAGAAACTGGGTTTTGATGTGTGCATTCATCTCACAGAGTTAAACCTTTCCTTCGATGGATCACTTTGGAAACACTGTTTTTGTAGAATCTGGGAAGGGATATTTAGGAGCACTTGAGGCCTATGGGGAAAAGGAAATTACTTCAGATAAAAAAGAGAAAGAGGAATTCTGAGAAGCCACTTTGTGATGTGTGAATTCTTCTCACAGTTTTTAACGTTTCTTTTGATTGAGTGGTTTGGAGACAGTGTTTCTGGTGGCATCTTCAAAGGGATATTTGGGAGTGCACTGATGCCTATGGTGTTAAAGGAAATATCTTCAGATAAAAACTAGAAAGTGGTTTTTGAGAAACAGCTCTGTGATGCATGCATTCATCTTACAGAGTTTAATCTTTCTTTTGATAGAGTAGTTTGGAAAACTCTTTTTGCAAAAACAATGAAGCGAAATTTGGTAGCACAAAATAACATACGGTGAAAATGAAATATCTTCAAATAAAAACCGGAAAGAAGCGTTATGAGAAACTGATTTCTGATGTGTGACTCATCTCACAGAATTAAATCCTTCTTTTGATGGAACAGTTCAGAAACAATGTTTTTTTAGGAGCACATTGAGTCCTATGGTCAAAATGTAATATCTTCAGAAACGAACTAGACAGAAGGTTTCTGAGAAATTGCTTTGTGAGGTGTGCATTCATCTCACAGAGTTTTTCCATTCTTTTCATTGAGCAGTATGGAAACAGTCTTTTTGTAGTATCTACAAAGACATATTTGGGAGAAATTTGATATCTATGGTGAAAAAGGAAATATATTCACATAAAAACTAGAAAGAAGCTTTCTGAGAAATGGCTTTCTGATGTATGCATTCATCTAACAGAAGTAAACGTTTCTTTCCATTGAGCAACTTAGAAATTCTGTGCTTCATGAATCTGTAAAGGGATATTTGTGAGTGCTTTGGGACCAATGATGAAAAAGGAAATATCTTCACAGAAAACCTAGACAGAAGCATTCTGAGAAACTTCTTTGTGATGTGTGCATTCATCTCACAGAGTTGAACCATTCTTTTGTTTGAGAAGATTTGAAACACTCTATTTGAAGAATCTGCAAGTGGATATTTGGAGTGCTTTGAGGCCTATGCCGGAAAAGG
Source organism: Homo sapiens (assembly GCF_000001405.40). Taxonomy (NCBI): domain Eukaryota; kingdom Metazoa; phylum Chordata; class Mammalia; order Primates; family Hominidae; genus Homo; species Homo sapiens. The sequence goes on along the minus strand of NC_000007.14, from coordinate 62,179,457 downwards.
GAATATCTTCACATAAAAACTAGACAGAAGCATTCTGAGAAACTACTTTTTGATGTGTTCTTTTCTCTCACCGAGTTGAACCATTCTTTTGGTGGAGGAGTTTGGAAACAGTCTTTTTGTAGTATCTGGAAAGGGGTATTAGGTATACGTTGAGGTCTATGGTGAAAAAGGAAATATCTTCACATAAAAAGAAGACAGAAGCTATCTGAGAAACTGCTTAGTGATGTGTGCATTCATCTAACAGAGTTGAAACTTTCTTTTCATTGAGCACTTTGGAACCAGTCTTTTTGTAGAGTCTGCAAAGGGATATTTGTGAGCCCTTTGAGGCCTATGGAGAAAAAGGAAATATCTTCACATGAAAACTAGAAAGAAGCTTTCTGAGAAACTGCTTTGTGATGTGGTCGTTCCTCTCACAGAACTAAACATTTCCTTTCATTGAGGAGTTTGGAAATTCTGTTCTTGGAGAAACTGCAAAGGGATATTTGTGAGAGCTTTGAGGACTATGGTGAAAAAGGAAATATCTTCACATAAAAAATAGGCAGAAGCTTTCTGAGAAACTACTTTGTGATGTGTGCATTCATCTCACAGAGCTGACCCATTCTTTTGATTGAGCAGTTTGGAAAAATCTTTTTGTAGAATCTGCAAAATGATATTTGGGAGTGCATTAAGGCCTATGTTGAAAAAGGAAATATCTTCACATAAAAAATAGAAAGAGGCCAGGTGTAGTGACTCACGCTTGTAATCCCAGCACTTTGGGAGGCCGAGATGGGTGGATCACAAGGTCAGGAGATCGAGACCATCCTGGCTAACATGGTGAAACCCCGTCTCTACTAAAAATATAAAAAAATTAGCCAGGCATGATGGCGGGTGCCTGTAGTCCCAGCTACTCGGGAGGCTGAGGCAGGAGAATGACATGAACCTGGGAGGCAGAGCTTGCAGTGAGCCAAGATTGCAACACTGCACTCCTGCCTGGGCCACAGATTGAGACTCTGTCTCAAAAAAAAATAGAAAGAAATTATCTGAGAAACTGCTTAGTGATGCGTGCATTAATCTCACAGAGGTAAACAATTCTTTTCATTGAGCAGTTTGGAAACTCTGTTATTCTAGAATCTGCAGAGGGATAATTCTGAGTGCTTTTATTTTTGTGGTGAATAAGGAAATATCAACAATAAAAACTAGACAGAAGCTTTCCGAGAAACTTCTTTGTGAGGTGTACATTCATATCAAACAGTTGAAACATTCCTTTGATTGAATGGTGTGTAAAGAGTATTTTTTTAGAATTGGCAAAGGGATATTTGGAATTGTGTCGAGGCTTATGGTGAAAAAGGAAATTTCTTCACATGAAAACTAGAAGGAAGATTTCTGAGACACTACTTTGTGATGTGTGCATTCATCTCACACAAGTAAACGTTTGTTTTCATTGAGCAGTTTGGAAACTCTGTTCTTCTAGAATCTGCAAGCAATATTTTGAAAGCCATGAGGCCTATGGTGAAAAACGAAATATCTTCACATAAAAACACGACAGAAGCTTTCTGAGAAACTTTTTAGTGATGTGTACATTCATCTCACAGAGTTAAACCACTCTTTTGATTGTGCAGTTTGGAAACAGTCTTATGGTAGAATCTGCAAAGGGATATTTGTGAGCCCTTTGAGGCCTATGGTGAAAAAGGAAATATCTTCACATAAAAACTACAAAGAAGATTTCTGATAAACTGCTTTGTGATGTGTGCATTCATGTCACAGAGGGAAACTTTTCTTTTCATTAAGCAGTTTGGAAACCCTGTCTTCTAGAATCTGCAAAGGGATATTTGTGAGCTCTTTGATGTCTATGGTGAAAAAGGAAATATCTTCACATAAATACTAGAAAGGTTTCTGAGAAATTGCACTGTTATGTGTGCACTCATCTCACAGAGGTAAACGTTTCTTTAAGCAGTTTGGACACCTTGTTCGTGTAGAATCTGCAAAGGGATATTTGTGAGCATTTTGATGCCTATGGTGAAAAAGGAAATATAGTCACATAAAAAATACACAGAAGCCTTCTGAGAAACTTCTTTGTAATGTGTGCATTTATCTCACAGAGTTGAACCTTTCTGTGTATTATGTAGTTTGGAAACAGTCTTATTGTAGAAACTTCAAAGGGATATTTGTGAGCCGTTTGAGGCCTACAGTGTAAAAGGAAATATCTTCACATGAAAACTAGAAGGATGGTTTCTGAGAAACTGCTTAGTGATAGGTGCACTCATCTCATAGAGGTAAACGTTTCTTTTAATTGACCAGTTTGGAATCTCTGTTCTTGTAGAATCTGCAAAGGAATATTTGTGAGCGCTTTGAGTCCTATGGTGAAAAAGGAAATATCTTCACATAAAAACTAGACAGACACTTTCTGAAAGTTCCTTGTAGTGTGTGCCTTTCTCTAACAGAGTTGAACCATTCTTTTGATTGAGCAGTTTGGAACACTCTTTTGGAGAATTTGCAAAGGGACTTTTGTGAGTGCTGTGAGGTCTATCTTAAAAAAGAAATATCTTCCCATAAAAACTAGACAGAAGTTTTCTGAGAAACAGCTTTGTGAAGTGCGCTTTCATCTCACAGAGGTAAAAGTTTCTGTTCATTGAGCAGATTGGAATATATGTTCTTGTAGAATCTCCAAATGGATTTTTTGAGTGCTTTGAGTTCTATGGTGAAAAAGGAATTATCTTCACATAAAAACTATACAGAAGATTTCTGAGAAACCTCTTTGTGATGTGTGCAGTCATACCACAGAGTTGAAACTTTCTTTTGATTGAGCAGTTTTGAAAATGTCTTTTTGCAGAATCTGCATAGTGATAGTTGTGAGCCCTTTGAGGCCCATAGTGAAAAAGGAAATATCTTCACATAAAAACTAGACAGAAGCTTCACAAGAAAGTTCTTTGTGATGTGTCCATTCATCTCACAGATTTGAACTTTTCTTTTGATTAAGCAGTTTGGAAACAGACTTTTTCTAGAATGTGCAAAGGGATATTTGTGTGCGGTTTGAGGCCTATGCTGAAAAAGGAAATATCTTCACATTAAAAACTAGACAGAATGTTTCTGAGAAACTGCTTTTTGATGTGTCTATTCATCTCACAGTGGTAAATGTTTCTTTTAGTTAAGTAGATTGGAAACACTCTTCTTCTAAAATCTGCAAAGGGATATTTTTGAGTGCTTTGTGGTCTATGGTATAAAAGGAAATATCTTCACATAAAAACTACACAGAAACTTTCTGAGGAACTTCTTTGTGATGTCTGCATTCCTCTCAAAGATTGAATCTTTCTTTTCATTGAGCAGCTTGGAAACAGTCTTTGGTAGAATCTGCAAAGGGATATTTCTGAGACCTTTGAGGCCTATGGTGAAAAAGGAAATATCTTCACATAAAAACTAGACAGAAGTTTTCTGAGACAGTGATTTGCCCATTGAGCATTCATCTCACAGAGGAAATCGTTTCCTTTCTTTGAGGAGATTAGAAAATCTTTTCTTGTAGAATCTGTAAGGGGATATTTGTGAGCCGTTTCAGGCCTATGGTGATAAAGGAAATGTCTTCATGTAAAAACTAGACAGAAGGTTTCTGAGAAACTGTGTTGTGATGTGTGTATTAATCTCACAGGTATAAAAGTTTCTTTTCATTGAGCAGATTGGAAATTCTGTTCTTGTAGAATCTGCTGAGACCAATGGCAGAAACGAAATAACTTCACATAAAACTAGATAGAATCTGAGAAACTTCTTTGTGATGAGTGCTTTCATCTAATAGAGTTGAAACTTTCTTTTGATTGAGCAGTTTGGAAACAGTGTTTTTGTAGGATCTACAAAGGGATGTTTGTGAGCACTTTGAGGCCAATGGTGAAAAAGGAAATATCTTCACGCAAACACCAGACAGAAGCTTTCTGAGAACACTCCTTTTGATGTGTGCATTCATCTCACAGAGTGGAAACTTTCCTTTGATTGAGCAGTTTGGAAACAGTCTCTTTGTAGAATGTGCAATTGATATTTATGAGTGCTTTGAGACCTATGTTGAAAAAGGAAATATCTTCACATAAAAATTAGACAGAAGCTTTATGAGAAGTGTCGTTGTGATGTGGGCATTCATCTCACCGAGTTGAACCTTTCTTTTGATTGATCAGTTTGGAAACAATCTTTTTGTAGAATTTACAGAGGGATATTTATTAGTGATTTGAGGTCTATGGTGAAAAAGAAAATATCTTCACATGAAAACTAGACAGACTGTTTCTGAGAAACTGCTTTGTGATGTATTCATTCATCTCACATACGTAAGCATTTCTTCTTATTGACCAGATTGGAAACTCTGTTCTTGTAGGATCTGCAAAGGGATATTTGTAAGCACTTTAAAGCCTATGGTGAAAAAGGAAATATCTACACATAAAAACTAGTCAGAAGACTTCTGAGAAACTTCTTTGTGATGAGCGCATTCATCTCACAGAGTTGAACCTTCTTTGGATTGAGGAGCTTGGATACAGTCTTTTTGTAGATTCTTCAAAGGGATATTTGTGAGCGGTTTCATGCCAATGGTGAAAAACGAAATATATTCACATAAAAACTAGAGAAAAGGTTTCTCATGAACTACTTTGTGATGGAGGCATGCATCTCAAAGATTTGAACTTTTCTTTTGATTGAGCAGGGTGGAAACAGTCTTTCTTCAGAATCTGCAATGGGATATTTCTGGGCCCTTTGAGGCCTATGGTGAAAAAGGAAATATATTCACATAAAAACTAGAGAGAAGCTTTCTGAGAAGCACTTTGTGTTGTGTCCATTCATCTCACAGAGCTGAACCTTTCTTTTGATTGAGGAGTTTGGAAAAAGTCTTTTAGTAGAATCTTCAAAGGGATATTTGTGAGCAGTTTGAGGCCAAATGTGAAAAAGGAAACATTTTAGCATAAATACTAGACAGAAGCTTTCTGACAAACTTCTCTGTGATATGTGTATTCATCTCACAGATTTGAAGCTTTCTTTTGATATTGCAGTTTTGAAACACTCTTTTTGTAGAATCTGCAAAGGGATATTTGTGAATGCTTTCTGGTCTGTGGTGAAAAAGTATATATCTTCACATAAAAACTAGACCGAAGCATTCTGAGAAACTTCTTTGTGATGTGTGCATTCATCTCACAGAGTTGAACTTCTCTTTTGATTGAGTAGTTGGGAAGCAGTCTTTTTGTAGAATCTGTAAAGGGATATTTGTGAGTGATTGGAGGCCCATGGTTAAAAAGGAAATATCTTCTCCAAAAAACTAGACAGAAGCTTTCTGAGAAACTTCTTTGTGATGTTTGCATTCATCTCACAGAGTTCAAACTTTCTTTTGACTGAGCTGTGTGGAAACAGTCTTTCCTAGGAATCTGCAATGGGATATTTGTGAACTCTTTGAGGCCTATGGTGAAAAAGGAAATATCGTCACATAAAAACTAGACAGAAGCTTTCTGAGAAACAGCATCATGATGTGTACATTCATCTCACATAGTAGAATCTTTTTTTGATTGAGCAGTTTGGAACCAGTCTTTTCATAGATTCTGCAAAGGCATATTTGTGAGCCCTTGTGGCCTATGGTGAAAAAGGAAATATCTTCACATAAAAACTAGGGAAAAACTTTCTGAGAAACAGCATTGTGATGTGTACATTCATCTCACAGAATTGAAACTTTGTTTTCATTGAGTAGTGTGGAAACAGTCTTTCTTTAGAATCTGCAATGGGATATTTGTGAGCCTTTTGAAACCTATGGTGAAAAAGGAAATGACTTCACATAAAAATTAGACAGAAGCTTTCTGAGAAACTTCTTTTTGATGTGTGCATTCATCTCACAGAGGTGAAACTTTCTTTTGATTGAGCAGTTTGGAACCAGTCTTTTTGTGGATCTGTGATGGGACATTTTTGAGTGCTTTTAGGAATATGGTGATAAAGGAAATATCTTCACATAAAAACTAGACAGAAGCTTTCTGAGAACATTCTTTGTCTCAGGTGCATTCATCTGACATAGTTGAGCCTTTATTTTGATTGAGCAGACTGGAACCAATCTTTTTGTAGAGTCTGCAAAGGGATATTTTTGAACCCTTTGAGGCCTATGGTGAAAAAGGAAATATCTTCACATAAAAACTAGACAGAATGTTTCTGGGAAACTGCTTTGTGATGTGTGGATTCATCTCACAGATGTAAACATTTCTTTTCATTGAGAGGATGGAAACTCTTTTCTTGTAGAATCTGCCACGGGATACTTTTGAGCCCTTTGAGGCCTACCATGAAAAAGGAAATTTCTTCACATAAAAACTGGACAGAAACTTTCTGAGAAACTTCTTTGAGTTGTGTCCATTCATCTCACAGAGCTGAACTTTTCTTTTGACTGAGCAAGTTGGAAACAGTCTTTTTTATAATCTGCAAAGAGATATTTTTGAGCATTGTGAAGCCTATAGTGAAAGAGGAAATATTGTCACATAAAAACTAGAAAGAAACTCTCTTAGAAACTTCTTTGTCATGTGTGCATTCATCTCACAGAGTTGAAACTTTCTTTTCATTGAGCAGTGTGGAAAAAGTATTTTTGCAGTAACTGCAGAGGGATATTTTTGACCTGTTTAGGGCCTACGGTAAAAAAGGAAATATCTTCACATAAAAACCAGACAGAAGCATTCTGAGAAACTTCTTTGTGATGTGTGCATTCATCTCACAGAGTTGAACCTATGTTTTTTTTGAGCATTTTGGAAATAGTCTTTTTGTAGAATCTGCAAAGGGATATTTGTGAGCCGTTTCAAACCTATGATGAAAAAGGAAATAACTTCACATAAAAACTAGAAAGAAGGCTTCTGAGAAACTCTTTGTGATGTATGCATTCATCTCACAGGGGTGAAACTTTCTTTTCATTGAGCAATGTGGAAAAAGTCTTTTTGCAGTATCTGCAGTGAGATATTTGTGACTGGTTTAGGGCGTATGGTGAAAAAGGAAATATCTTCAGGTAAAAACTAGACAGAAGCATCCTGAGAAACTTCTTTGTGATGTGTGCATTCATCTCACAGAGTTGAACCTATCTTTTTTTTGAGGAATTTGGAAATAGTCTTTTTGTTGAGTCTGCAAAGGGATATTTGTGAGCCATTTCAAGCCTATGGTGAAAAAGGAAATATCTTTACATAGAAACTAGAAAGAAGGCTTCTGAGAAACTGTTTTGTGATGTGTGCATTCATCTCACAGAGGTAAAAGTTTCTTTTCATTGAGCAGATTGGAAACTCTGTTCTTGTAGAATCTGCAAAGGGATGTTTGTGAGCACTTTGAGGCCTAAGTTGAAAAAGGAAATATCTTCACCTAAAAATTAGACAGAAGCTTTCTGAGAAAATTCTTTGTGATGTGTGCATTCATCCCACACAGTAGATCATTTCTTTTGATTGATCAGATTGGAAACAATCATTTCCTAGGATCTGCAAAGGGATAGCTGCATGTGGTTTGAGGCTCATGGTGAAAAAGGAAATACATTCACATAAGAACTAGACAGAAGCATTCTGAGAAACTTCTTTGTGATGTGCGCATTCATCTCACAGAGTTGAACCTTTCTTCTCAATGAGCAGTTTGGAAAGAGTCTTTCTGTAGAATCTTCAAAGCGATATTTGTGAGCAGTTTGATGCCAATGGTGAAAAAGGAAATATATTCACACGAAAACTAGACTGAAGCTTACTGAGAAAGTTCTTTGTTATGCATCCATTCATCTCATGGAGTTGAACATTTCTTTTGATTGAGCAGTTTGGAAGCAGTCTTTCTGTTAAATCTGCAAAGGGATATTTGTGAGCCGTTTGAGGCATATAGCGAAAAAGGAAATATCTTCACATAAAAAGGAGGCAGAAGATTACTGAAAAACTTCTTTGTGATGTGTGCATTCATCTCAGAGTTGAACCTTTCGTTTGATTGAGCACTTTGGAAACAGACTTTCTGTGGAATCTGCAAAGGGATATTTGTGAGTGATTTGAGCCTGTGAAGAAAAAGGAAATATCTTCACATAAAAATTAGACAGAAGCTTTCTGAGAAAGTTGTTTGTGATGTGCGCATTCATCCACAGAGTTGAACCTTTCATTTGATTGAGCAGTTTGGAACCAGTCTTTTTGTAGAGTCTGCAAAGGGATATTTTGAGCCCTTTGAGGCCTATGGAGAAAAAGGAAATATCTTCACATAAAATGAGACAGAATGTTTCTATGTAACTGCTTTGTGATGTGTGCATTCATCTCACAGATGTAAATGTTTACTTTCATTGAGAAGATTGGAAAATCTGATCTTGTAGAATCTGCAAAAAGATATTTGTGAGCATTTTGAGGCCTATGGTGAAAAAGGAAATATCTTCACATAAAAACTAGACAGAAGCTTTCTGAGAAACTCCTTTGTGTTGTGTCCATCCATCTCACAGAGTTCAATCTTTCTTTTGATTGAGCAGTTTGGAAAGAGTCTTTTTGTAGAATATTCAAAGGGATATTTTTGAGTGCTTTGAGGCCAAAGGTGAAAAAGGAAATATATTTACATAAAAACTAGACAGAAGCTTTCTGAGAAACTTCTCTGTGATGTGTGCATTCATCTCACAGATTTGAAGCTTTCTTTTGATTGAGCAGATTGGAAACAGTCTTTTTGCAGCATCTTCAAACTGATATTTGTGAGCGATTTGAGGCCTATGCTGAAAAAGGATATATCATCACAAAAAAACTACACAGAAGCATTCTGAGAAACTTCTTTGGGGTGTGTGCATTCATCTCACAGAATTCAACATTGCTTTTGATTGAGCAGCTTGGAAATAGTCTTTTTGTAGAAAGTGCAAAGGGATATTTTTGAGTGGTTTGAGGCCCAAGGTGAAAAAGGAAATATCTTCAAATAAAAACTAGGCAGAAACTTTCTGAGAAACTTCTTTGTGATGTGTGCATTCATCTTACACAGTTCAACATTTCTTTTGATTGGTCAGGGTGGAAACAATCTATTTGTGGATTCTGCAATGGAATATTTGTGAGTGCTTTGAGGCCAATGGTGAAAAAGGAAATATCTTCACATAAAAATTAGGCAGAAGCTTTCTGAGAATCTTCTTTGTCATATGAGCATTTATCTGACAGATTTGAACCTTTCTTTTGATTGAGCAGTTTGGAAGCAGTCTTTTTGTAGAGTCTGCAAAGGTATATTTGTGAGACCTTCGAGGCGTTTGGTGAAAAATAAATATCTTCACATAAAAAGTAGACAGAACCTTACTGAGAAACTTCTTTGTGATGTGGGCATTCTTCTCACAGAGTTGAAACTTCGTTTTGATTGAGCAGTTTGGAAACAATATTCTTGTAGAATCCACAAAAGAATATTTGTGAGCGGTTTGAGGCCGATGGTGAAAAAGGAAACATATTCACGTAAAAGCTAGACAGAAGCTTTCTGAGAAACATCTTTGTCATGTGTGCGTTCACCTCACAGTGTTGAAACTTTCTTTTGACTGAGCAAGTAGGAAACAGTCGTTTTGTGTAATCTGCAATGGGTATTTTTGAGTGGTGTGAAGCCTAAGGTGAAAAAGGAAATATCTTCTCATAAAAACTAGAAAGAAGCTTTGTTAGAAAATTCTTTGTGATGTGTACATTCATCTCACAGATTGGAACATTTATTTTCATTGAGCAGTTTGGAAAAAGTCTTTTTATAGAACCTGCAAAGGGATATTTGTGAGCCCTTTCAGGCCTATTATGAGAAAGAAAATGTCTTCACATAAAAACTAGACTGAAGTTTTCTGGGAAAACTCTTTGTGATTTGTTCATTCATCTCACAGTGTTGAACCTATGTTTTGATTGAGCAGTTTGGAAAAAGTCCTTTTGAAGAATCTGCAAAGGGATATTTGGGAGCCCTTTGAAGCCAATGGTGAAAAAGGAAATATTTTCACATAAAAACTACACAGAAAGCTTCTGAGAAAATGCTTTGTGATGTGTGCATTTATCTCACAGACAAAAATTTCATTTCATTGAGCAGATTGGAAACTGTTCTTGTAGAATCTGCAAAAGGATATTTCTGAGTGCTTTGAGGCCTATGGTGAAAAAGGAAATATCTTCAACTAAAAACTGGACAGAAGCTTTCCGAGAAACTTATTTGTGATGTGTGCATTCATCTCACACAGGTGAACCTTTCTTTTGATTGAGAAGATTGGAAACAATCTTTTCCTAGAATATGCAAAGGGATAGTTTCGTGCAGTTTGAGGCCCATGGTGAAAAAGGAAATATCTTCACATAAAAATTGGACATAAGCTTTCTGAGAAACTTCTTTGTGATGTGCACATGCATCTCACAGAGTTGAAACTTTATTTTGATTGAGCAGTTTGGAAAGAGTCTTTTAGCAAAATCTGCAAAGGGATACTCGTGAGCTGTTTGAGGCCTACGGAGAAAAAGGAAATATCCTCACATACAAACCAGACAGAAGCTTTCAGAGAAACTTCTTTGTGATGTGTGTATTCATCTCACAGAGGTGAAACTATCTTTTGATTGAGCAGTTTGAAAACAGTCTTTTTGTAGAATCTGCAATGGGATATTTGTGAGAGGTTTAAAGCCTACGGTGAAAAAGGAAATAAGTTCACATAAAAACTAGATGGAAGCTTTTTGAAAAACTTCTTTATGATGAGTGCATTCACCTCACAGATTTGAAACTTTCATTTGATTGAGCAGTTTGGAATCAGTCTTTTTGTAGGGTTTTCAAAGGGATATTTGTGAGCCCTTTGAGTCCTATGGTGAAAAAGGAAATATCTTCACATAAAAATTAGACAGAATGGTTCTGGGGAACTGCTTTGTGATGTATGCATTCATCTCACAGATGTAAACGTTTCTTTTCATTAAGCAGATTGGAAACTCTGTTCTTGTAGAATCTGCAAAGGAATATTTTTGCGCGCTTTGAGGCCTCCAGTGAAAAATGGAACATCTTCACATAATAACTAAACAGATGCTTTCTGAGAAACTTCCCTGTGATGTGTGCATTCATCTCACAGGATGGAACCTTTCTTTTGATTGAGGAGTTTGGAAACCATCTTTCTGTAGAATCTACAAAGGGACAGTTGTGAGCAGTTTGAGTCCTATTGAGAAAAAGGAAATATCTTCACATAAAAACTAGAAAGAAGCTTTTTGAGAGACTTCTCTGTGATGTGTGCATCCATCTCACATATTTGAAGCTTTCTTTTCATTGAGAGGTATGGAAACAGTCTTTTTGCAGAATCTGCAAAGGGATATTTTTGAGCACTTTGAGGCCTATGGTGAAAAAGGATATATCATCACATAAAAACTAGACAGAACTATTCTGAGAAACTACTTTGTGATGTGTGTATTCATCTCACAGAGTTGTACTTTTCCATTTATTGAGCAGTTTGGAAGCAGTCTTTTTGTAGAATCTGCAAAGGGATATTTGTGAGTGGTTTGAGGCCCATGTGAAAAAGGAAATATCTTCATATAAAAACTAGACAGAAGCTTTTTGAGAAACTTCTTTTTGATGGGTCCATTCATCTCAAAGAGGTGAAACTTTCTTTTTAGTGAGCAGTTTAGAAGTAGTCTTTTTGTAAAATCTGCCATGGGATATTTCTGAGTGCTTAGAGGCCCATGGTGTAAAAGGAAATATCTTCACATAAAAACTAGGTAGAAGCTTTCTGAGAATCTTCTTTGTCATATGTGCATTCATCTCACAGAGTTGAACATTTCTTTTGAATCAGCAGTTGGGAACCAGTCTTTTTGTAGAGACTGCAAAAGGATATTTGTGAGCCCTTCGAGGCCTATGGTGTAAAATGAAATATCTTCACATAAAAAATAGACAGAACCTTTCTGAGAAGATGCTTTGTGAAGTATGCATTCATCTCACATCATGAAACGTTTCTTTTCATTGAGTAGATTGGAAACTCTGTTTTTGTAGAATCTGCAAAGAAATATTTGTGAGCACTTTGAGGTCTCTGTTGAAAAGGGAAAAATCTTCACATAAAAACTAGACAGATGCTTTCTGAGAAACTTCCATGTGATGTGTGCATTCATCTCACAGAATTGAAACTTTCTTTTCATTGAGCAATCAGGAAACAGTCTTTCTGTAGAATCTGCAAAGGGATAGTTGTGAGCTGTTTGATGCCTATTGAGAAAAAGGAAATATCTTCACATAAAAACTAGACAGAAGCTTTCTGAGAAACTTCTCTGTGATGTGTACATTCATCTCATAGAGGTGAACTTTCGTTTTAATTTAGTAGTTTGGAAACAGTCTTTTTATAGAATCTGCAAAGGGATATTTGTGAGAACTTTTAGGCCTATCGTGAAAAAGGAAACATCTTCACATAAAAACTAGACAGAAAGTTTCTGAGAAACTGCTTTGTGATGTGTGCATTCATCTCACAGATGTAAACGTTTCTTTTCATTGAGCAGATTGGAAACTCTGTTCTTGTAGAATCTGCAAAGGGATATTTGTGAGTGCTTTTGGCCTATGGTGAAAAAGGAAACATCTTCACATAAAAACTAGTCAGAATCTTTCTGAGAAACTTCTTTGTTATGTGTGAATTCATGTCCCAGAGTTGAACCTTTCTTTTGATGGAGCAGTTTGGAACCAGTCTTTTTGTAGAATCTGCAAATTGATATTTGTGATCCCTTTAAGGCCTATGGTGAAAAAGAACTGTCTTCACAGAAAAACTAGACAGAAGGTTTCCATGAAACTGCTTTCTGATGAGTGCATTCATCTCACCTATGTAAACGTTTGTTTTCATTAAGCAGATTGAGTACTCTGTTCTCGTAGAATCTGCAAAGTCATATTTGTGAGCACTTTGAGGGCTACGGTGAAAAAGGAAATATGGTCACATAAAAACTAGACATAAGCATCCTGAGAAACTTCTTTGTGATGTGTGCATGCATCTCACATGGTTGAACCTTTCTTTTGATTGAGCAGTTTGGAAGCAGTCTCTTTGTAGAATCTGCAATGGGATATTTGTGTTTGCTCTGTGGCCTATGGTATAAAAGGAAATGCCTTCACATGAAATGAGACAGAAGCTTCCTGAGAAACTTCTTTGTGATGTGTGCATTCATCTCATGGAGTTGAAACTTTCTTTTGATTGAGCAGTTTGGAACAGTGTTTTTATAGAATCTGACAAGGTGTATTTGTGAGCCATTTGAGGCCTATGGTGAAAAAGGAAATATCTTCACATAAAAACTAGACAGAAGCTTTCTGAGAAACTTCTTTGTGATGTGTGCATTCATCTCACTGAGTTAAACCTTTCTTTTGATTGAGCAGTTTGGAAACAGTCTTTTTATAGAATCTGCAAATGGACATTTTTGAGCCAATTGAGGCCTATTGTGAAAAAGTAAATATTTTCACATAAAAACTAGATAGAAGTTTCCTGAGAAACTTTTTTTGTGATGTGTGCATTCATCTCACAGATCTGAACCTTACTTTTGATTGGGCTGTATGGAAACAGTCTTTTTGTAGAATCTGCAAAGGGTATTAGTGAGCCTTTTGAGGCCTATGGTGAAATAGGAAATAGCTTCACATAAAAACTAGACAAAAGCTTTCTGAGAAGCTGCTTTGTGATGAGTGCATTCATCTCACAGAGGTAAAGGTTTCTTTTCATTGAGCAGATTGTACGCTCTATTCTTGTAGAATCTGCAAAGGGATATATAGAAGCACGTTGAGGCCAATGGTGAAAAGGGAAATATCTTCACATAAAAACTAAACAAAATCTTTCTTATAATCTTCCTTTTGATGACTGCATTCATCTCACAGAGTTGAACCTTTCTTTGATTGAGCTGTCTGGAAACAGTCTTTTTGTAGAATGTGCAAAGGGATATTTGCAGGCCCTTTCAGGCCTATGGTGGAAAAGGAAATATCTTCATATAAATACTAGACAGAAGCTTTCTGAGAAACTGCTTTGGGATGTTGGCATTCATCTCACAGAGGTAAACGTTTCTTTTCATTGAGCAGATTAGAAACTCTGTTCTTTTAAAATCTGCAGAGGGATATTTGTGAGTGCTTTGAGGCCTATAAAGGTGAAAAAGGAAATACCTTCACAAAAAACTAGACAGAAGATTTCTGAGAAACTTCCTTGTCATGTGTGAATTCATCTCACAGAGTTGAACATTTCTTTTCACTGAGCAGTTTGGAAACTGTTTTTTGTAGAATCTGCAAAGGGTTATTGTGAGCCCCATTTCAGCCTATGGTGAAAAATGAAATATCTTCACATAAAGGCTAGACAGAATGTATTTGGGAAACTGCTTTGGATGTGTGCATTCATCTCACAGAGTTGAACCTTTCTTTTGATTGAGAAGTTTGGAAACAGTCTGTTTGTAGAATTTGCAAAGGGTAATTTTGAGCAGTTTGAGGCCTATGGTGTAAAAGGAAATATCTTCACACAAAAACTAGACAGAAGCATTCTGAGAAACTTCTTTTTGAAGTTGGCATTCATCCACACAGACATGAACATTTCTTCTGATTGAGTGGTTTGGAAACAATCTTTTTGTATAATCTGCAAAAGGATATTTGTGAGTGATTTTAGGCCTTTGGTAAAAAAGGAAATATTTTCACATAAAAAGTAGACAGACGCTTTCTGAGATACTTCTTTGTGATCCGTGCATTCATCTCACAGAGTTGAACTTTTCTTTAATTGAGCAGTTTGGAAACAGTCTTTTTTTAGAATATGCATGTGGATATTTGGAGCACTGTGAGGCCTGTGTTGAAAAACGAAATATCTTCACATGAAAACTAGACAGAAGCATTATGAGAAACAAATTTGTGGTGTGTGCATTCACTTTGCAGAGTTGAACCTTTCTTTTAATTTAGCAGTTTGGAAACAGTCTTTTTCTAGAATCTGTGAAGGGATAATTGTGATCCCATTGAGACCTATGGTGAAAAAGGAAATTGCTTAAAATAAAAGCTAGACAAAAGCATTCTGAGAAATTTCTTTGTGAAGTGTGAATTCATCTCCCAGAATTGAACCTTTGCTTTCATTGAGAAGTTTGGAAACAGTCTTTTTGTAAAATCTGCAAAGAGATATTTGGAGCAATTTGTGGACTATGGTGAATAAGGAAAGATCTTCACATAAAAACTAGAAAGAAGCATTCAGAGAAACTTTTTTGTGATGTGTGCATTTATGTCACAGAGTTGAAAATTTCTTTTGATTGAGCAGTATGGAAACCGTCTTTTTTTAGAATCTGCAAAAGGGTATTTGTGAGCTTTTTGAGGCCCATGGTGAAAAAGGAAATATCTTCACATAAAAACTAGACAGAAGTTTTCTGTCAAACTTCTTTGTGATATCTGCTTTCATCTCACAGAGTTGAACCACCCTTTTGATTGAGCAGTTTGGAAACAGCCTTTTGTAAAATCTCCAAATTGATATTGGGAGTGCTTTGAGGCATATGGTGAAAAACAAAATAACTTCACATTAAAACTACACAGAAGATTTCTGAGAAACTCCTCTGTGATGTGTGCATTCACTTCACAGATTTGAACCTTTCTTTTGATTGAGCAGTTTGGAAACAGTCTTTTTATAGAATTTGTGAATGGACACTTGGAGTGCTTTGAGGCCTATTTTGAGAAAGTAATTATCGTCACATAAAAACTGGACAGAAGTTTTCTGACAAATTTCTTTATGATATATGCATTCATCTTACAGAGTTGAACATTTCTTTTGATTGAGCCGTTTGGAAACAGTCTGTTTCTATAATCTGCAAAGGGTATTTGTGAGTGGATTGAGGCCTATGGTGAAAAAGGAAATATCTTCACATAAAAACTAGACAGAAACATTCCGAGAAACATCTTTTTGAGAAACATTTTTTTGATGCGTGCATTCATCTCACAGAGTTGAACATTTCTTTTGACTGAGCAGTATGGAAACAGTCTTTTTGTAGAATCTGCCAAGGGGTATATGAGCGCTTTTTGGCCTATGGTGAAAAAGGGAAATATCTTCACATAAAGACTAGACAGAAGCTTTCCAAGAAACATATTTCTGATGTGTGTATTCATCGCACAGAGTTGAAACTTTCTTTTCATTGAGCAGTTTGGGAAAAGTCTTTTTACAGAATCTGCAAAGGGATATTTATGAGCACTTTGAGGCCTATGGTGGAAAAGGAAATTTATTCACATAAAAAATAGACAGAAACATTCTGAGAAACTTCTTTGTGATGTGTGCATTCATCTCACAGAGTTGAAGCTTTCTTTTAATTGAGCAGTTTGGAAATGGTCTTTTTGTAGAATATTCAAGAAGATATTTTTGAGCGCTTTGGGGCCTATGGTGAGAAAGGATATATCTTCACATAAAATCTAGACAGAAGCTTTCTCAGAAACTTCTTTGTGATCTCTGCTTTCATCTCACAGAGCTGAACCTTTCTTTTGATTAAGCTGTTTGGAAACGTTCTTTTTGTAGAATCTGTAAGGGGATATTTGTAAGCCAATAGAGACATATGGTGAAAAATGAAATATCTTCAAATAAAAAATAGAAGGAAGATTTCTGAAAACCTTATTTGTGATGTGTACCTTCACCTCACAGAGTTGAACCTTTTCTTTCATTGAGCAGTTTGGAAACAGTCTTTTATAGTATCTGCAAATGGATAATTTGAGGGTTTTGAGGCCTATGGTGAAAAAGGAAATATCTTCACATAAAAACTACACAGAAGATTTCTGAGAAACTGCTTTATGATGAGTGCATTCATGTCACAGGTTTGAACTTTTCTTTTGATTGAGCAGTTTGGAAACAGTCTTTATGCAGAATCTGCAAAGGGATATATTTGAGCACTTTGAGGCCTATGGTGAGAAAGGGAATATCTTCACATAAAAACTAGACAGAAGCTTTCTGAGAAACTTCTTTGTGATGTGTGATTTAGTATCACAGATATGAACCTTTCTCTTGATTGAGCAATTTGGAAACAGTCTTTTTTTGCAACCTGCAAATGAATATGTGGGACGTTTTGAGGCCTACGGTGAAAAAGGAAATATCTTCACATAAAAACTAGACATAAGTTTTCTGAGAAACTGCCTTGTGATATGTGCATTCATCTCACAGAGTTGAACCTTACTTTTGTTTGAGCTCTTTGGAAATAGTCTTTAGGTAGAATCCATAAAGGGTTATTTCTGAGCACTTTGAGGCCTTTGATGAAAAAGGAAATATCCTGACATAAAAACTAGATATAAGCTTTCTGAGAAATTTCTTTGTGATGTGTGCTTTCATCTCACAGAGTTGAACATTTCTTTTGATTTAGCAGTTTGGAAACAGTTTTTTTGTAGAATCTGCAAACGGATACTGGGAGTACTTTGAGGCCTATAGTGTAAAGGGAAATATCTTCACATAAAAAGTAGACAGAAGCATTCTGAGAAACTTCCTTGTGATGTGTGCATTCATCTCACAGAGTTGAACCTTTCTTTTGATGGAACAGTTTGGAAACAGTGTGTTTGTAGAATCTGCAAAGGGTAATTTTGATTGGTATGAAGCCTATGGTGAAAAAGGAAATATCTTCACATAAAACCCAGACAGAAGTCTCCTGACATACTTCATTGTGATGTGCGCATTCATCTCACATAGTTGAACCTTTCTTTTAATTGAGCAGTTTGGAAATAGTCTTTTTGTAGAATCTGCAAAGGGATATATGTGAGCAGTTTGAGGCCTATGGTGAAAAAGTAAATACCTTCACATACAAAGTAGACAGAAGCTTTCTGAGAAACTTCTTTGTGACGTCTGCTTCATCTCACAGAGATGAACTGTTCTTTTGATTGAGGAGTTTGGAAACAGTCTTTTTGTAAAATCCACAAAGGGATATTCGTGAGCAGTTTGAGGTATGTGGTGAAAAAGGAAATATCTTCAGGTAAATACTAGACAGAAGCATTCTGGGAAACTTCTTTGTGACGTGTGCATTCATCTCACTGAGTTGATCTTTTCTTTTGATTGAGCAGTTTGGAAGCAGTCTTTTTGTAGTATCTGCAAAGGGATATTTTTGATATCTTTGAGGTGTATGGTGAAAAAGGAAATATCTTCACCTAAAAAATAGACAGAAGGTTTCTGAGAAACGTCTTTGTGATGTGTCCATTAATCTCACGGAGTTGAACCTTTCTTTTGGTTGAGCATTTTGGAAACAGTCTTTTTGTAGAATCTGCAAAGGGCTATTTTTGAGCCCTTTGAGATCTATGTTGAAAAAGGAAATATCTTCACATAAAAACTAGACAAAGGGTTTCTGAGAAACTACTCTATGTTGTGTGCTTTCATGTCACAGAGTTGAACCTTTCTTTTGATTGATCAGTTTTGAAGCAGTCTTTTTGTAGTATCTGCAAAGGGATACTTGGAGCAATTTGAGGCCTATGTTTAAAAAGGAAATATCTTCAAATAAAGACTAGGCAGAAGCTGTTTGAGAAACTTCTTTGTGATGTGTGTATTTATCTCAGAGAGTTGCACCTTTCTTTTGTTTTTTTTTTTAATTTTATTATTATACTTTAAATTTTAGGGTACATGTGCACAACGTACAGGTTTGTTACATATGTATACATGTACCATGTTGTTGTGCAACACCCATTAACTCGACATTTAGTGTTAGGTGTGTCTCTTTAGTTTAATTAGATCCCATTTGTCAATTTTGGCTTTTGTTGTCATTGCTTTTGGTGATTTAGACACGAAGTCCTTGCCCATGCCTATGTCCTGAATGGTATTGCCTAGGTTTTCTTCTAGGGCTTTTATGGTTTTAGGTCTATCATTTAAGTCTTTAATCCATCTTGAATTAATTTTTGTGTAAGGTATAAAGAAGGGATTCAGTTTCAACTTTCTACATATGGCTAGCCAGTTTTCCCAGCACCATTTATTAAATAAGGAATCCTTTCCCCATTGCTTATTTTTCTCAGGTTTGTCAAAGACCAGATAGTTGTAGATATGCAGCATTATTTCTGAGGCCTCTGTTTTGTTCCATTGGTTTATATCTCTGTTTTAGTACCAGTACCATGCTGTTTTGGTTACTGGAGCCTTGTAGTATAGTTTGAAGTCAGGTAGCATGATGCCTCCAGCTTTATTCTTTTGGATTAGGATTGACTTCGCAATGTGGGCTCTTTTTTGGTTCCATATGAAGTTTAAAGTAGTTTCTTCCAAGTCTGTGAAGAAAATCATTGGTACTTTGATGGGGATGACATTGAATCTGTAAATTACCTTGGGCAGTATGGCCATTTTCACGATATTGATTCTTCCTACCCATGAGCATGGAATGTTCTTCCATTTGTTTGTATCCTCTTTTATTTCCTTGAGCAGTGGTTTGTAGTTCTCCTTGAAGAGGTCCTTCACGTCTCTTGTAAGTTGGATCCCTAAGTATTTTATTCTCTTTGAAGCAATTGTGAATGGGAGTTCACTCATGATTTGGCTCTCTGTTTGTCTGTTATTGGTATATAAGAATGCTTGTGATTTTTGTACATTGATTTTGTATCCTGAGACTTTGCTGAAGTTGCTGATCAGCTAGAGGAGATTTTGGGCTGAAACGATGGGGTTTTCTAGATATACAATCATGTTATCTGCAAACAGGGACAATTTGACTTCCTCTTTTCCTAATTGAATACCCTTTATTTCCTTCTCCTGCCTAATTGCCCTAGCCAGAACTTCCAACACTCTGTTGAATAGGAGTGGTGAGAGAGGGAATCCCTGCCTTGTGCCCGTTTTCAAAGGGAATGCTTCCAGTTTTTGCCCATTCAGTATGATATTGGCTGTGGGTTTGTCATAGATAGCTCTTATTATTTTGAGATACGTCCCATCAATACCTAATTTATTGAGAGTTTTTAGCATGAAGGATTGTTGAATTTTGTCAAAGAACTTTTCTGTGTCTATTGAGGTAATCATGTGGTTTTTGTCTTCGGTTCTGTTTATATGCTGGATTACATTTCTTGATTTGCATAGGTTGAACCAGCCTTGCATCCCAGGGGTGAAGCCCACTTGATCATGGTGGATAAGCTTTTTGATGTGCTGCTGGATTCAGTTTGCCAGTATTTTATTGAGGATTTTTGCATCGATGTTCATCAAGGGTATTGGTCTAAAATTCTCTTTTTTGGTTGTGTCTCTGCCAGGCTTTGGTATAAGGATGATGCTGGCTTCATAAAATGAGTTAGGGAGGATTCCCTGTTTTTCTATTGATTGGTATAGTTTCAGAAGGAATGATACCAGCTCCTCTTTCCACCTGTGGTAGAATTCGGCTGTGAATCCATCTGGTCCTGGACCTTATATGGTTTGTAAGATGTTGATTATTGCCTCAGTTTCAGCTTCTGTTATTGGTCTATTCAGAGACTCAACTTCTTCCTGGTTTAGTCTTGGGAGGTTGTATGTGTGGAGGAATTTATCCACTTCTTCTAGATTTTCTAGTTTATTTGCATAGAGGTGTTTATAGTATTCTCTGATGGCAGTATGTATTTCTGGGGGATCGGTGGTGATATCCCCATTATCAATTTTTATTGCGTCTATTTTATTCTTCTCTCTTTTCTTTTTTATTAGTCTTGCTAGTGGTCTATCAATTTTGTTGATCCTTTCAAAAAACCACCTCCTGGATTCATTAATTTTTTGAAGGGTTTTTTGTGCTTCTATTTCCTTCAGTTTTGCTCTGATCTTAGTTATTTCTTGCCTTCTGCTAGGTTTTGAATGTGTTTGCCCTTACTTTTCGAGCCCTTTTAATTGTGATGTTAGGTTGTCAATTTTAGATCTTTCCTGCTTTCTCTTTTGGGTATTTAGTGCTATAAATTTCCCTGTACACACTGCTTTGAATGTGTCCCATGGATTCTGGTATGTTGTGTCTTTTTTCTCATTGGTTTCAAAGAACTTCTTTATTTCTGCCTTCATTTCATTATATACCCAATAGTCATTCAGGAGCAGGTTGTTCAGGGAAACAGTCTTTTTATAGAAACTGCAGAGGGATATTTGTGAGTGGTTTCAAAACTACGGTGGAAAAGGAAATATTGTCACATAAAAACTAGAGAGAAGCATTCTGAGAAACTTCTTTGTGATGTGTGCATTCATCTCACAGCGTTGAACCTTTCTTTTGATTGAGCAGTTTGGAAACAGTCTTTTTACAGTATCTGCAGATAGATATTTGGAGTGCTTTGCGGCGTATTGTGAAAAAATAAATATCTTCACATCAAAAGTAGACAGAAACTTTCTGAGAAACTATTTTGTGATGTGTGCTTTCATCTCCATTGTTGAACATTTCTTTCCATTGAGCAATTTGGAAACAATCTTTTTGTAGAATCTGCAAAGGGATATTTGTGAGCCCTTTGAGGCCCATGGTAAAAAATGAAATATCTTCACATAAAAACTAGACTTTAGCTTTCTGAGAAACTTCTTTCTGATGTGTGCTTTCTTTTCTCAGAGTTGAACCATTCTTTTGATTGAACAGTTTGGAAACAGTCTTTTTGTAGAATCTTCAAATGGGTATTTGGAGCACTTTGAGGCCTGTGGTGAAAAAGGAAATATCTTCACAAAAAAACTAGACAGAATCTTTCTTAGAAACTTCTTTGTGTTTTGTGCATTCACCTCACAGATTTGACCCTTCCTTTTCATTGAGCAGTTTGGAAACAGTCTTTTTGTAGAGTCTGCAAAAGGATATTTGGAGCACTTTGAGCCCTTTGGTGAAAAAGGAAATATATTCACGTGAAAAGTAGACAGAAGATTTCTGAGAAACTTCTCTGTGATGTGTGCATTCACATCACAGACTTGAACCTTTCTTTTGATTGAGCAGTTTGGATATATTCTTTTTGTGCAATCTGCAAAGGGCTATTTCTGAAAGACTTTAGGCCTATGGAGAAAGAGAAATATCTTCATATGAAAATTAGAAGCATTCTGAGAAACCTCTTTGTGATGTGTGCATTCATCTCACAGAGTTGAAAATTTCTTTGGATTGAGCAGTTCGTAAACAGTATTTTTGTAGAATCTGCAAAAGGATATTTGAGAGCTCATTGAGGCCTATGGTGAAATAGGAAACATCTTCACCTAAAAACTAGACAGAAGTTTTCTGAGAAACGCCTTTGTGATGTGTGCTTTCATCTCACAGATTTGAACCATTGTTTGATTTGAGCAGTTTGGAAACACCTATTTGCAGAATCCGCCAAGGGATATTTGGAGAGCTTTGTGGCCCATGGTTAAAAAGGAAATATCTTCACATAAAAACTAGAAAGAAGCATTCTCAGAAAATTATTTGTGATGTGTTCATTCATCTCACAGAATTGAACCTTTCTTTTCATTGAGCAGTTTGGAAACACTCTTTTTCTGGGATTTGCAGAGGGATAATCGTGAGTGGTTTGGGGCCTATGGTGAAAAAGGAAATATCTTCAAATAAAAACTAGATGGGGGATTTTTGAGAAACTTCTTTGTGATGTGTGCATTCGTCTCACAGTGTTGAACCTTTCTTTCGATTGAGCACTTTGGAAAGAGTATTTTTGTAGAATCTGCAAATGGATATTTGGAGTGCTTTGAGGCCCATGGTGTAAAAGGAAATATCTTCACATTAAAACTAGACAGAAGCTTTCTGAGAGACTCCTTTGCAATGTGTGCATTCATCTCACAGAGCTCAACCTTCCTTTTGACTGAACACTTTGGAAACAGTCTTTTTGTAAAATCTGCAAATGGATATTTGGAGTGCTTTGAGGCCCATGGTGGAAATGGAAATATCTTCACATAAAAGCTAGACGGAAAATTTCTGAGAAACTTCTTTGTGATGTGTGCTTTCATCTCACACAGTTGAACTTTCTTTTGATTGAGCAGATTGGAAACAGTCTTTCTGTAGAATCTGCAATGAGTTAATTGTGAGCCCTTTGAGGGCTATGGTGAAAAATGAAATATCTTCTCATAAAAACTAGACTTCAGCTTTCTGAGAAACTCCTTTGTAATGTGCACCCTCATCTCTCAGAGTTGAATCTTTTGATTGAGCAGCAGTGAAACAATCTTTTTGTAGAATCTGCTAATGGATACTTGTTACGCTTTGAGGACTTTGGTGAAAAAGGAAAGAACTTCACGTACAAACTAGACAGAAGCTTTCTGAGAAACTCCTTTGTGATATGTGCTTTCCTCTCACAGAGTTGAACCTTTCTCTTCACTGAGCAGTTTGGTAACCGTCTTTTTGTAGAATCTGCAGAGAGATATTTGTGAGGGGTTTGAGGCCTCTGGTGAAAAAGGAAATATCTTCACATAAAATCTAGACAGAAAGTTTTTGAGAAAGTTCTCTGTGTTGTGTACTTTCATCTCACAGAGTTGAACCTTTGTTTTGATTGATCAGTTTTGAAACAGTCTTTTTGTAGGATCTGCAATGGGATACATTGAGCAATTTGGGGCGTATGGTGAAAAAGGAAATATCTTCACATAAAAGCTAGACAGAAAGCTTTATGAGAAACTCCTTTGTGATGTGTGCATTCCTCTCCCAGGTTTGAACCTTTCTTTTCAGTGAGCAGTTTGGAAACAGTGTTTATGTAGAATCTGCAAAGGCATATTTGGATTGCTTCGGGGCCTGTGGTGAATAAGGAATTATCTTCACTTAAAAGTAGACAGAAGTTTTCTGAGAAACTTCTATGTTATGTGTGCATTCATCTCACTGAGTTGAAACTTTGTTTTGTTTGAGCAGTTTGGAGACAGTCTTTTTGTAGAATCTGTGAAGGGATATTTGTGAGTGGTTTTGGGACTATGGTGAAAAAGGAAATATCTTCACATAGAAAATGGAATCTTTCTGGGAAAATTCTTTGTGATGTGTGCATTAGTCTCAAGGAGTTGAACCATTTTTGATTCAGTGGTTGGAAACAGTCTTTTTGTGGAATCTACAAACGGATATTTCTGAGTCCTTTGAGGACTATGTTGAAAAAGGAAATATGTTCATATGGAAACTAGACAGAACCTTTCTAAGAAACTTCTCTCTGTTGTGGGATTTCACCTCACCGTGTTGAAGCTTTCTTTTGAGTGATCAGTTTGGAAAAACTCTTTTTGTAGAATCTGCAAAGGGATATTGGAGCAATTTGAGGCCTATGGTGGAAAAGGAAATATCTTCAAATGAAAACTAGACAGAGTCTTTCTGAGAAACTTCTTTGTGAGGTGTGCTTTCGTCTCAGAGAATTGCATCTTTCTTTTGATTAAGCAGTTTGGAAACAGTCTTTTTGCAATATCTGCAAAGGGATATTTGTAGCAGTTTGAGGTCTATGGTGAAAAAGGAAATATCGTCACATAAAAAACAGACAGAATATTTCTGGGAAAATTCTTTGTGATGTGTGCATTAGTCTCAAGGAGTTAAAACTTTCTTTTGATTCAGCAGTTGGAAAGAGTGTTTTTGTAGAATCTACAAAGGGATATTTCTGAGTCCTTTGAGCCTATGTTGAAAAACGAAATATGTTCAGATAGAAACTAAACAGAAGCTTTCTGAGAAACTTCTTTGTGATGTGTGCATTCGGCTCCCGGAGTTTAACCTCTCTTCTGATTATGCAGTTTGGAAAGAGTCTTTTTCTAGAATTGGCAATGGGATATTTGTGAGCAGTTCGAGGCCTCTGGTGAGAAAGGAATTATCTTCACATAAAAACTAGACAGAAGCTTTCTGAGAAACTTATTCGTGATGTGCACATTCGTCTGACTGAGTTCAACGTTTCTTTTCTTTTTTTATCTTTTTTTTAAAATTATTATTATACTTTAAGTTTTAGGGTACATGTGCACAATGTGCAGGTTAGTTACATATGTATACATGTGCCATGCTGGTGTGCTGCACCAATTAACTCATCATTTAGCATTAGGTATATCACCTAATGCTATCCCTCCCCCCTCCCCCCACCCCACAACAGTCCCCAGAGTGTGAAGTTCCCCTTCCTGTGTCCATGTGTCCTCATTGTTCAATTCCCATCTATGAGTGACAACATGCGGTGTTTGGTTTTTTGTCCTTGTGATAGTTTACTGAGAATGATGATTTCCAATTTCATCCATGTCCCTACAAAGGACATGAACTCATCATTTTTTATGGCTGCATAGTATTCCATGGTGTATATGTGCCACATTTTCTTAATCCAGTCTATCATTGTTGGACATTTGGGTTGGTTCCAAGTCTTTGCTATTGTGAATAGTGCCACAATAAACATACGTGTGCATGTGTCTTTATAGCAGCATGATTTATAGTCCTTTGGATATATACCCAGTAATGGGATGGCTGGGTCAAATGGTATTTGTAGTTCTAGATTCCTGAGGAATCGCCACACTGACTTCCACAATGGTTGAACTAGTTTACAGTCCCACCAACAGTGTAAAAGTGTTCCTATTTCTCCACATCCTCTCCAGCACCTGTTGTTTCCTGACTTTTTAATGATTGCCATTCTATCTGGTGTGAGATGGTATCTCATTGTGGTTTTGATTTGCATTTCTCTGATGGCCAGTGATGATGAGCATTTTTTCATGTGTTTTTTGGCTGCATAAATGTCTTCTTTTGAGAAGTGTCTGTTCATATCCTTCGTCCACTTTTTGATGGGGTTGTTTGTTTTTGTCTTGTAAATTTGTTTGAGTTCATTGTAGATTCTGGATACTAGCCCTTTGTCAGATGAGTAGGTTGCAAAAATTTTCTCCCATTTTGTAGGTTGCCTGTTCACTCTGATGGTAGTTTCTTTCTTTTGCTGTGCAGAAGCTCTTTAGTTTAATTAGATCCCATGTGTCAATTTTAGCTTTTGTTGACATTGCTTTTGGTGATTTAGACATGAAGTCCTTGCCCATGCTTATGTCCTGAATGGTAATGCCTAGGTTTTCTTCCAGGGTTTTTATGGTTTTAGGTTTAATGTTTAAGTCTTTAATCCACCTTGAATTAATTTTTGTATAGGTGCAAGTAAGTGATCCAGTTTCAGCTTTCTACATATGGCTAGCCAGTTTTCCCAGCACCATTTATTAAATAGGGAATCCTTTCCCCATTGCTTGTTTTTCTCAGGTTTGTCAAAGATCAGATAGTTGTAGATATGTGGCATTATTTCTGAGGGCTCTGTTCTGTTCCATTGGTCTATATCTCTGTTTTGGTACCAGTACCATGCTGTTTTAGTTACTGGAGCCTTGTAGTATAGTTTGAAGTGAGGTAGCGTGATGCCTCCAGCTTTGTTCTTTTGGCTTAGGATTGACTTTGTGATGTGGGCTCTTTTTAGGTTCCATATGAACTTTAAAGTAGTTTTTTCCAATTCTGTGAAGTGTCTGTTCATATTGGTAGCTTGATGGGGATGGTATTGAATCTATAAGTTACCTTGGGCATTATGGCCATTTTCATGATATTGATTCTTCCTACCTGTGAGCAGGGAATGTTCTTCCATTTGTTTGTATCCTGTTTTATTTCATTGAGCAGTGGTTTGTAGTTCTCCTTGAAGAGGTCCTTCACGTCCCTTGTAAGTTGGATTCCTAGGTATTTTATTCTCTTTGAAGCAATTGTGAATGGGAGTTCACTCGTGATTTGGCTCTCTGTTTGTCTGTTATTGGTGTATAAGAATGCTTGTGATTTTTGTACATTGATTTTGTATCCTGAGACTTTGCTGAAGTTGCTTATTAGCTTAAGGAGATTTTGGGCTGAGACAATGGGGTATTCTAGATATACAATCATGTTATCTGCAAACAGGGACAATTTGACTTCCTCTTTTCCTAGTTGAATACCTTTTTATTTCCTTCTCCTGCCTAATTGCCCTGGCCAGGACTTCCAACACTCTGTTGAATAGGAGTGGTGAGAGAGGGCATCCCTGTCTTGTGTCCATTTTCAAAGGGAATGCTTCCAGTTTTTGCCCATTCAGTATGATATTGGCTGTGGGTTTGTCATAGATAGCTCTTATTATTTTGAGATATGTCCCATCAATACCTAATTTATTGAGAGTTTTTAGCATGCAGAGTTGTTGAATTTTGTCAAAGGCCTTTACTGCATCTATTGAGATAATCATGTGGTTTTTGTCTTTGGTTCTGTTTATATGCTGGATTACATTTATTGATTTGCATATATGGAACCAGCTTTGCATCCCAGAGATGAAACCCACCTGATCATGGTGGATAAGCTTTTTGATGTGCTGCTGGTTTCAGTTTGCCAGTATTTTATTGAGGATTTTTGCATCAATGTTCATCAAGGATATTGGTCTAAAATTCTCTTTTTTGGTTGTGTCTCTGCCTGGCTTTGGTATCAGGATGACGCTGGCCTCCTAAAATGAGTTATGGAGGATTCCCTATTTTTCTATTGATTGGCATATTTTCCGAAGAAATGGTAGCAGTTCATCCTTGTACCTCTGGTAGAATTTGGCTGTGAATCCATCTGGTCCTGGACTGTTTTTGGTTGGGAAGTTATTGATTATTGCCACAATTTCAGCTTCTGTTATTGGTCTATTCAGAGATTCAACTTCTTCTTGGTTTAGTCTTGGGAGAGTGTATGCATTGAGGAATTTATCCATTTCTTTTAGATTTTCTAGTTTATTTGCGTAGAGGTGTTTGTAGTATTCTCTGATGGTAGTTTGTATTTCTGTGGGATCAGTGGTGATATCCCCTTTATCACTTTTTATTGCATCTATTTGATTCTTCTCTCTTTTTTTCTTTATTCGTCTTGCTAGCAGTCTATCAGTTTTGTTAATCCTTTCAAAAAACCAGCTCCTGGATTCATTAATTTTTTGAAGGGTCTTTTTTGTCTCTATTTCCTTCAGTTCTGCTCTGATTTTAGTTACTTCTTGCCTTCTGCTAGCTTTTGAATGTGTTTGCTCTTGCTTTTCTAGTTCTTTTAATTGTGATGTTAGGGTGTCAATTTTGGATCTTTTCTGCTTTCTCTTGTGGGCATTTAGTGCTATAAATTTCCCTCTATACACTGCTTTGAATGTGTCCCAGAGATTCTGGTATGTTGTGTCTTTTTTCTCATTGGTTTCGAAGAACATCTTTATTTCTACCTTCATTTCATTATGTATCCAGTAGTCTTTCCAGAGCAAGTTGTTCAGTTTCCATGTAGTTGAGTGGTTTTGAAAGGTTTTCACTCAAAATGCACTCAAAACCTTTCTTTTCATTGAGGAGTTTGGAAACAGTCTTTTTGTAGAATCTGTAAACGAATATTTGGAGCTTTTTGAGGCCTATGAAGGAAAAGGAAATATCTTCACAGGAAAAGTAGACAGAAGAATTATGGGAAACTGCTGTGTGATGTATGCATTCATCTCCCAGAGTTGAACCTTCCTTTTCATTGAGCGGTTTGGAAACAGTCTTTTTGTAGAGTCTGCATTAAGGTATTTGGAGTGCTTTGGGGCCTGTGGTGAATAAGGAAATATCTTCACAAAAAAACTATACTGAATCTTTCTGAGAAAATTATTTGTGAAGAGTGCATTCATCTCACAGAGTTCAACCTTTATTTTGATTGAGCAGTTTGGAAACAGTCTTTTTGTAGAATCTGCAAAGGGATAATAGGAGCATTTTAAGGCCTATGGTGTAAAAGGATATATCCTCAATGAAAAACTACACAGAGATTTTCTGAAAAACCTCTTTGTGATGTACGCATTCATCTCACAGAGTTCAACCCTTCCTTTGATGGAGCAGTTTGGAAACATAAACAGTCTTTTTGAAGAATCTACCAAGGGATATTTGGAGCGCTTTGGGGCCTATGGTGAAAAAGGAAATACCTTCACATAAAAACGAGACATAAGTTTTCTGAGAAACTTCTTTGTGATGTGTGCATTCATCTCCCAGAGTTGAACCTATCTTTTCATTGATCAGTTTGGAAACACTGTTTTTGTAGTATCTGCAAAGGGATATTTGGAGCACTTTGGGGCCTGTGATAAATAAGGAAATATCTTCACATAAAGGTAGGTGAAGTTTTCTGAGAAACTTCTTTGTTATGTATGCATTCACTTCATTGAGTTGAAATTTTCTTTCGATTGAGCAGTTTGGAGACAGTCTTTTTGTAGAATCTGCAAACGGATGTTTGTGAGCAGTTTTCACACACAAAACATAGGTTTTGGCCTATGGTGAAAAAGGAAATATCTTCGCACAGAAACATTCTGAGAAACTTGTTTGTGATGTGTGCATTCATCTCACAGAGTTGAACCTTTCTTTTTTTTGAGCAGTTTGGAAACCGTCTTTTTGTAGAATCTGTGAAGGGATATTTGTGATCACTTTGAGGCCTGTGTTGAAAAAGGAAATATCTTCACATTAAAACTAGACCGAAACTTTGTGAGAAACTTCTTTGTGATGTGTGCATTCGTCTCACAGAGTTGAAACTTTCTTTTAATAGAGCAGTTTGGAAACAGTCTGTTTGTAGAATATGCAAATTGATATTTGTGAGCGGTTTGAGGATTATTGTGAAAAAGGTAATATCTTCACATAAAAACTAGACAGAAGTCTTCTGAGAAACTTCTCTGTGTTGTGTGATTTCATCTCACAGTGTTGAAACTTTCTTTTGATTGATCAGTTTGGAAACAGTCTTGTTGTAGAATCTGCAAAGGGATATTGGAGCACTTTGAGGCCTGTGGTGAAAAAGGAAATATCTTCAAATAAAAACTAGACAGAGACTTTCTGAGAAACTTCTTTGTGATGTGTGCTTTCATCTCAGAGAGTTGCACCTTTGTTTTGATTAAGCAGTTTTGAAACCATCTTTTTGAAATATCTGCAAAGGGATACTTGTAGCAGTTTGAGGCGTATGGTTAAAAAGGAAATATCTTCACATAAAAAATAGACAGAATCTTTCTGGGAAAATTCTTTGTGATGTGTGCATTAGTCTCAAGGAGTTGAACCTTACTTTTGATTCAGCACTTGGAAACAGTCTTTCTGTAGATCTCCAGATGGATATTTCTGGAGTCCTTTGAGGTCTATGTTGATAAAGGAAATATGTTCATATAAAAACTAGACAGTAGCTTTGTGAGAACCTTGTCTGTGTTGTGTGCTTTCATCTCACAGTGTTGAACCTTTCTTTTGATAGATCAGTTTGGAAACACTCCTTTTGTAGAATCTGCAAAGGGATATTGGAGCACTTTGAGGCCTCTGTTGAAAAAGAAAATATCTTCAAATAAAAACTAGACAGAAACTTTCTGAGAAACTTCTTTGTGATGTGTGCATTCATCTCACAGAGTTCAAACTTTCTTTTCATTGAGCAGTTTGGAAACAGTCTTTTTGTAGAGTCTGCAAATGGATATTTGGAGCACCTTGAGGCCTATGGTGAAAAAGGAAATAGCTTCACATAAAAACTAGACATAAGGTTTCCGAATAACTTCTTTGTGATGTGTGCATTCATCTCACAGATTTCAACCTTTCCTTTCATTGAGCAGTTTGGAAACAGTCTTTCTGCAGAATCTGCAAGGGGATACTTGGAGCGCTTTGAGGACTATAGTGAATAAGGAAAATATTCGCAGAAAAACTAGACAGAAGCCTGCTGAGCAACTTTTTGTGATGTGTGTAGTCGTCTTTCAAAGCCGAAGCAGTTTTTTGATTGAGCAGTTTGATAACCGTGTTTTTGTAGAATCTGAAAAGGGATATTTGTGAGGCCTTTGTGGGCTACCGTGAGAAAGGAAATATCTTCATGTAAAAACTAGACATAAGCTTTCTGAGAAATTTTTTGTGATGTGTGCATTCATCTCACAGGGTTGAACCTTCCTTTTGATTTAGCATTTTGGAAATAGTCTTTTTGTGGAATCTGCAAAGGGATATTTAGAGTGCTTTGGGGCCTGTGGAAAATAAGATAATATATTCACATGAAATATAGACAGAACTATTCTGATAAAATTCTTTGTGATGTGTGCATTCATCTCACAGAGTTAAAGATTTCCTTTGATTGAGGAGTTTGGAGGCTGTATTTTTGTAGAGTCTACAAAGGGATAACTGTGAGGGTTTTGGGGCCTATAGTTAAAAAGGAAATAGCTTCACATAAAAAGTAGAAAGAAGCATTCTGAGAAACTTCTTTGTGATATGTGCATTCATCTCAGAGAGTTGAACCTTTCTCTTGATTGAGGAGTTTGTAAGCAGTCTTTTTGTAGAATCTGAAAAGGGATATTTGTGAGCGGTCTGAGGCCTATGTTGAAAAAGGAAATATCTTCACATAAACACTAGAAAGAAGTTTTCTGAGGAACTTCTCTCTGTTGTGAGATTTCTTCTCACAGAGTTTAACATTTCTTTTGATTTATCAGTTTGGAAACAGTCTTTTTGAGAATCTGTGAATGGATATATGGAGCTCTTTGGGACAAATGGTGAAAAGGGAAATACCTCAACATAAAAACTAGAGAGAAGATTTCTGGGAAACTTCTTGTGATGTGTGGCTTCTTCTCGCAGAGCTGACCCTTTTATCTGATTGAACAGTTTGGAAACAGTCTTTTTGTAGAATTTGCGAAGGGATGTTTGTTGCTCTTTGGGGTGAATGGTGAAAAACAAAATATCTACACATAAAAACTAGACCAAACCTTTCTGAGAAACTTCTTTGTGATGTGTCCATTCATCTCCCAGAGTTCAACTTTTGCTTTCATTGAGCAGTTTGCAAACAGTCTTTTTGTAGAATCTGCAAATGGATATTTGGAGTGCTTTGTGGCCTGTGGTGAAAAAGGAAGATTCTTCACATAAAAGCTAGACAGAAGCTTTATGAGAAACTCCTTTGTGATGTGTGCATTCATCTCACAGAGTTGAATCTTTCTTTTCATTGAGCAGTTTGGAAACAGTCTTTTTGTAGAATCTGCAAAGGGATATTTGGAGTGCTTTGAGGCACGTGTTGAATAAGAAAAATCTTCACTTAAAAAATAGACAGGAATGTTCTGAGAAACTTCCTTGTCATGTGTGCTTTCATCTCACAGAGTTGAACCTTTCTTTTGGTTGAGCAGTTTGGAAACAGTCTTTTTGTAGAATCTGTAAATTGATATTCAGAGCAATTTGGGGCCCATGGATAGAAAGGAAATATCTCCACAAAAAAACTACACAAAAGCTTTCTCAGAAACTGCTTTGAGATGTGTGCATTCATCTCACAGAGTTGAGGCTTTTTTTTTGATTGAGCAGTTTGGAAACAGCCTTTTTGTAGGATCTGCCAAGGGATATTTGGGGCGCATTGAGGCCTATGGTGGAAAAGGAAATATCTTCACATAAAAAGTAGAAGAAGCTTTCAGAGAAACTACTCTGTGTTGCGTGCTTTCATCTCACAGAATTGAACTTTTCTTTGATTGATCAGTTTGGAAACACTCTTTTTGTAGAATCTTCAAAGGGATAATTGGAGGACTTTGTTGCCCACTGTGAAAATGTAAATATCTTCAAATAATAAGTAGACAGAAGGTTTTCGAGAAAACTCTGTGATGTGAGCATTCCTCTCACAGAGTTGAACCTTTGTTTTGATTAAGCATTTTGGAAAAGTCCTTTTTTATAATCTGCCAAGGGATATTTTTGAGCGGTTGGAGGCCTATGGTGAAAAAGGAAATATCTTCACATAAAAAATAGACAGAAGATTTTTGAGAAACTTCTTTTGATGTGTGCATTCATCTCAAACAGTTGAACCTATCTTTTGATTGAGTAGTTTGGAAGCAGACTTTTTGTAGAATCTGCCAAAGGGACATTTGTACCACATTGAGGCATATTGTGAAAATGAAATATCCTCACATAAAAACTAGACAGAATCTTTCTGAGAAACTTCTTAGTGAAGTGTGCATTCATCTCAAAGAGTTCAACCTTTCTTGTCATTGAGCAGTTTGGAAACATTCTTTTTGTAGAATCTGCATATGGATATTTGGAGTGCTTTGAGACCTACAGTGAAATACAAAATATCTTCATATAAAAACTAGGGAGAAGCTTTCTGAGAAACTTCCTTGTGATGTGTGCTTTCATCTGATAGAGTTGAACGTTTCTTTTCATTGAGTAGTTTGAAACAGTCTTTTTGTAGAATCTGCAAAGGGATATTTGTGAGCGGTTTGAGGCTTATGGTGAAAAAGGAAATATCTTCCCATAAAAACTAGACAGAAGATTTTTGAGAAACTTCTTTGTGATGTTTGCATTCATCTCACGAAGTTGAAGCTTTCTTTTCACTGAGCAGTTTGGAAACAGTCTTCTTGTACAATCAGCAAAGGGATACTCCTGAGCATTTTGAGGCCTATGTTGAAAAGGAAATATCTTTAAATAAAAACTAGAGAGAAGCATTCTGAGAAAGTTCTTTGTGATGTGTGCATTCTTCTCACAGAGTTGAACCTTTCTTATGATTGAGCAGTTGGGAAACAGTCTTTTTGTAGGATCTGCAAAAGGATATTTGTGAGCAGTTTGAGTCCTATGGTGAAATAGAAAATATCTTCATATGAAAACTAGACAGAATCTTTCAGAGAAACTTCTTTGGAAATGAGCATTCATCTCACAGAGTTCAAACTTTCTTTTGATTGAGCAGTTTGGAAACAGTCCTTTTGTAAAATCAGCAAATGGATATTTGGAGCACTTTGAGGCCTACGTTGAAAAACGAAATATCTTCACATAAAAAATAGAAGCTTTCTGAGAAACTTCTTTTTGATGTGTGCATTCATCCCACAGGGTTGAACCTTTCTTTTGATTGCTCAGTTTGCAAACAGTCTTTGTGTAGAATCTGCAAAGCGATATTTGGGAGTGGTTTGAGGACTATGGTGAAAAAGGAAATATCTCCCCATAAAAACTAGACAGAAGATTTTTGAGAAACTTCTTCGTGATTTTTGCATTCACCTCACTGAGTTGAAACCTTCTTTTTACTGAGCAGTTTGGAAACCGTCTTTTTGTACAATCGGCAAACGAATATTTCTGAGCGTTTTGAGGCCTATATTGGAAAGGACATATCTTCACATAAAAACTAGACAGAAGCATTCTCAGAAACTTCTTTGTGATGTGTGCATTCTTCTCACAGAGTTGAACATTTCTTATGATTGAGCAGTTTGGAAACAGTCTGTTTGTCGGATCTACAAAGGGATACTTGTGAGCAGTTTGAGGCCTGTGGTGAAATAGGAAATATCTTCACTTAAAAACTAGACAGAATTTTTCTGAGAAACTTCTTTGGGATGTGAGCATTCATCTCACAGAGTTGAACATTTATTTTGATTGAGCAGTTTGGAAACAGTCTTTTTGTAGAATCAGCAAATGGATATTTTGAGCATTTTGAGGCCTATGTTGAAAAAGCAAATATCTTCCCATAAAAACTAGACAGAAGATTTCTGCGAAATATCTTTGTGATGTGTACATTCATCTCACAGAGTTGAAAATTTCTTTTGTTTGAGCAGTTTGGAAACAGTCTTTCTGTAGAATCTGCAGAGGGATATTTGTGAGCCCATTGAGCCATATGTGATATACGAAATATCTTCACATTAAAACTAGACAGCAGGTTTCTGAGAAACTTCTTGGTGAAGTGTGCTTTCATCTCATTGTGATGAAGTTTTGTTTTGATTGACTGTTTGGAAACAGTCCATTTGTAGAATCTGCAAATGGGTATTTGCTGCACTATGTGGCCTACGGTGAAAAAGGAAATGTCTTTATTTAAGAACTAGACAGAAACTTCCTGAGAAACTTCTTTGTGATGTGTGCATACATCTCACAGAGTTGAACGTTTCTTTTGATTGAGCAGTTGGGAAACAGTCTTTTTGTAGAACCTGCAAATGGATATTTGTGAGCCCATTGAGTCCTGGGGTGAAATAGGAAATATCTTCATATAAAAACTAGGCAGAAGCATTCTGAGAAACTTCTTTGTGATGTCTGCTTTCACCTCATAGAGTTGAACGTTTGTTTTGATTGAGCATTTTGGAGACAGTCTTTTTTTATAATCTGCAGAAGGATTGCTGTGAGCAGTTTGAGGCCTATGGTGATAAAGGAGATATCCTCACATAAAAACAAGACAGAGGCATTCTGAGAAAGTTCTTTATGATGTGCACATTCATCTCACAGAGTTGAACTTTCTTTTGATTCAGTAGTTTAGAAATAGTTTTTTGTAGAATCTGCAAAGGGATATTTGTGTGCAGTTTGAGGACTATGGTGAAAAAGGAAATATCTTCTTATAAAAACTAGAGAGAAGATTGAGAAACTTCTTTGTGATGTTTCCATTCATCTCACTGAGTGGAAACGTTCTTTTCACTGAGCAGTTTGGAAACAGTCTTTTTGTACAATCGGCAAAGGGATATTTCTGAGCATTTTGAGGTCTACGTTGAAAAGGAAATATCTTCACATAAAAACTAGACAGAAGCATTTTGAGAAATTTCTTTGTGATGTGTGCATTCTTGTCAGAGTTGAACCTTTATTTTGATTGACCAGTGTAGAAACAGTCTTTTTGTAGAATCTGCAAAGGGATATTTGTGAGCCCTTTGAGGTCTGTTGTGAAATAGGAAATATCTTCACATAAAAACCAGAAAGAAGCCTTCAGAGAAACTTCAATGTAGTGAGTGCTTTCATCTCACAGAGTTGAACCTTTCTTTTGATTGAGCAGTTTTGAAAGAATCTTTTTGCCGAATCTACCAATGGATATTTGGAGCGCTTTAAGGCCTATGGTGAAAATGGATATATCTTCACATAAGAACTAGACAGAAGCATTTTGAGAAACTTCCTTGTGTTATTTGAATTCATCTCACACAGTTGAATCTTTCTTTTCATTGAGCAGCTAAGAAACAGTTTATTTTACAATCTGCAAATGGATACTTCTGAATAGTTTGGGGCATATGGTGAAAAAGAAATATCTTCATATAAAAACTAGACAGATGTATTTGGAGAAACTTCTTTGTGATGTGTTTATTCATCTCACAAAGTTGAACCTTTCTTTTGATAGAACATTTTGGAAACAGTCTTTTTGTAGAATCCACAAATTGATATTTAGAGTGCTTTGAGTCCTATTTCCAAACTGCTCAACCAAAGGAAAGGTTCAACTCTGTGAGATGAATGCAGACATCACAAATAAGTTTCTCAGAATGCTTCTGCCTAGTTTTAATGTGAAGATATTTTCTCTTTCACAGTAGGTGTAAAACTGCTCACAAACATCTGTCAGCAGATTCTAAAAAAAGACTGTTTCCATAATGTTCAATCAATAGAAATGTTCAAATCTGTGAGATGAATGCATACATCAGAAAGATGATTATCAGAAATCTTCTGTCTAGTTTTTATGTGAAGTTATTTCCTTTTTCACCACAGTCCTCAAAAAGCTCCAAATATCCATTTGCAGATTCTACAAAAAGACTGTTTCCAAACTGCTCAATCTAAAGAAAGGTTCAACTTTGTGAGATGAAAACACACATCACAAAGAAGTTTCTCAGAAAGTTTCTGTCCAGTTTTTATGTGAAGTTATTTCCTTTTTCACCATAGGCCTCAAAGCACTCCAAATATACATATGCAGATTCTACAAAAAGACTGTTTCCAAGCTGCTCCATCAAAAGAAATGTTCAACTCTGTGAGTTGAAGGCACACATCACAATGTAGTTTCTCAGAAAGCGTCTGTCTAGTTCTTATGTGAAGATATTTCCTATTTCACCATAGTCCTCTAGGGGTTTACTAATATTCCCTTGCAGATTCTACAAAAAGACTGTTTCCAAACTGCTCAATCAAAAGAAAGTTTCAAATGTGTCAGATGAATGCACACATCACAAAGAAGTTTCTCAGAATGATTCTGTCTAGTTTCATGTGAAGATATTTCCTTTTCACCATAGGCCTCAAAGAGCTCAGAAATATCCTTTTGCAGATTGTATAAAAATACTGTTTCCAAAGTACTCAATCAAAGGATAGGTTCAACTCTGTGAGATGAATGCACACATCACAAGGAAGTTTCTCAGAAAGCTTCTCTCGAGTTTTTATGTGAAGATATTTATTTTCACTGTAGGCCTCAAACCGCTAAGAAATATCTGTTTGCAGATTCTACAAAAAGACTGTTTCCAAAGTGGTCAAACAAAAGAAAGTCCAACTGTGTGAAATGAATGCTCACATCACAGAGAAGTTTCTCAGAATGCTTCTGTCTAGTTTTTATCTGAAGATATTTCATTTTTCACCATAGGCCTAAAATCACTGAAAAATATCCCCCTGCAGATACTACAAAAAGACTGTTTTGAAACTGCTCACTCAAAAGAAAGGCTCAACTCGGTGAGATGAAATCACACATCACAGAGAAGTTTCTCAGAATGCTTCTGTCTAGTATTTATGTGAAGATATTTGCTTTTTCACCATATGCCTCAAAGTGCTCACAAATATCCCTCTGCAGATTCTAAAGAAAGTTTCCAAAGTGCTGAAGCAAAAGAAACGTTCAACTCTGTGTGATGAATGCACACATCACAAAGAAGTTTCTGACCAAGCTTCTGTATATTTTTTATGTGAAGATATTTCCTTTTTCACCGTAGGCCTCAAAGCACTCCAAATATCCACTTGCAGATTCTATAAAAAGACACTTTCCAAACTGCTCAATCAAAAGAAAGGTTCAACTCTCTGAGATGAAAGCACACATCACAAAGAAGTTTCTCAGAAAGGTTCTGTCTAGTTTTTCTGTGAATATATATATTTTTTTCACCATAGGCCTGAAACCGCTCAGAAATATCCCTTTGCAGATGTTACAAAAAGACTGTTTCCAAACTGTTCATTCAAAAGAAAGGGTCAGCTATGTAAGATGAATGCTCACATCACAAAGCAGTTTCTCAGAATGCTTCTGTCTGGTTTTTTTGTGAATATATATTTTTTTCACCATAGGCCTGAAACTGCTCAGAAATATCCCTTTTCAGATTATACAAAAAGACTGTTTCCAAACTGCTCATCCAAAAGAAAGGGTCAGCTATGTAAGATGAATGCTCACATCACAAAGCAGTTTCTCAGAATGCTTCTGTCTAGTTTTTATGTGAAGATATTCCTTTTGCACCATAGGCCTCAAACCACTCAGAAATATCCCTTTTCAGATTACACAAAAAGACTGTTTCCTAACTGCTCAATCAAAGGATATGTTGAACTCTGTGAGATGAATGCACACATCACAAAGAAGATTCTCAAAAACGGCTGTCTAGTTTTTATGTGAAGATATTTCCTTTTTCAACATAGGCCCCAAACTGCTCACAAATATCCCTTTGCAGATTGTACAAAAAGACGGTTTCCAAACTGCTCAATCAAAAGAAAGTTTCAACTCTGTGAGATGAATAAACAAATTACAAAGAGGTTTCTCAAAAAGCGTCTATCTGGTTTTTATGTGAAGATATTTCCTTTCTCACCAAAGGCCTCAAACCACTGACAAATATCACACAGCGGAATCTACCAGAAGACTGTTTCCAAACTGCTCAATCAAAAGAAAGTTTCAACTCTGTGACATGAATGCACACATCACAAAGTAGTTTCTCACAAAGCTTCAGTCTAGTTTTTATGTGAAGATATTTCCTTTTTCACTACAGGCCTCAAAGCTCTCCAAATATCAATTTGCAGATTCTACAAAAAGACTGTTTCCAAACTGCTCAATGAAAAGAAAGATTCAACTCTGTGAGATGAATGCACACATCATGAAGCAATTTCTCAAAATTCTTCTGCCTATTTTTTATGTGAAGATATTTCCATTTTCACCATAGGCCTCAAACCGCTCACAAACATCACTCTGCAAATTCTACAAAAGACTGTTTCCAACCTGCTCAATCAAAAGAAAGGTTTAACTCTGTGAGATGAATGCACACATCACAAAGAAGTTTCTCAAAAGGTTCTTTCTAGTTTCTATATGAAGATATTTCCTTTTTCACCATACGCCTCAAACTGCTACAAATATCCATTTGCAGATTCTACAAAAAGACTGTTTCCAAACTGCTCAATCAAAAGGAAGGTTCAACTCTGTAAGATGGAAGCAGATATGACAAAGAAGTTTCCCAGAAAGCTTCTGTCTAATTTTTATGCGAAGATATTTCCTATTTCACAATGGGCCTCAAACCTCTCAGTAATATCCCTTTGCAGATTGTACAAAAAGACGGTTTGCAAACTGCTCAATCAAAAGAAAGGTTCAACTCTGCAGATGAATGCCCACATAACAGAGTAGTTTTTCAGAAAGCTTCAGTCTAGTTTTCATGTGAAGATATTTTCTTTTTCAGCATACGCCTGAAAGAGCTCCAAACTTACAATTGCAGATTCCACAAAAGACTGTTTCCAAACTTCTCAATCAAAATAAAGTTTCAACTTAGTGAGACGAAAGGACACAAGACAAAGAAGTTCCTCAGAATGCTTCTGTCTAGTTTTTAGTGAAGATATTTCCTATTTCGCCACAGGCCTCATTGGGCTCCCAAATATCTCTTTGCAGATTCTTGAGAAAAGTGTTTCCAAACTGCTCAATCAAAAGAAAGGTTCAACTTTGTGAGATGAATGCACACATCAGAAAGTGGTTTCTCAGAATTATTCTGTCAAGTTTTTATATGAACATATTTGCATTTTCACCAAAGGACTAAAACCGCTCACAAATATCCCTCTGCAAAAACTACAAAAAGACTGTTTGCAAACAGCTCAATCAAAACAATGGTTCAACTCTGTGAGATGAATGCACACATGAAAAAGTAGTTTCTCAGAAAGCTTCTGTCTTGTTTTTATATGAAGATATTTCCTTTTTTAACCACAGGGCTCAGAGCGCTCCAAATATCAATTTGCAGATTCTACATAAAGACTGTTTCCAAACTGCTCAGGCAATAGAAAAGTTCAATTCTGTGAAATTAAAGCACACATCACAAAGAAGTTTCTCAGAAAGTTTCTGTGTAGTTTTTATGTGAAGATATTTCCTATTTCACCATAGGCCTCAATGGGCTCACAAATATCCCTTTGCAGATACCACATAAAACTGTTTCCAAACTGCTCAATCAAAAGAAAGTTTCAAGTCTTTGAGCTGAGTGCACACATCACAGAGAAGTTTCTCAGAGTGCTTCTGTCTAGTTTTTATGTGAAGATATTTCCTTTTTCAACATAGTTCTGAAACCACTCAAAAATATCCCTCTGCAAATTCCACAAAAAGGCTGTTTCCATATAGCTCAAACAAAATAAAATTTCACCTCAGTGAGATGCATGCACACATAAGAAAGAAGCTTCTCAGAAAGCTTCTGTCTAGTTTTTATGTGAAGATATTTCCTTTTTCACCATAGTGTTCGAAGTGCTCCAAATATCCATTTGCAGATTCTACAAAAGGAATGTTTCCAAGCTGCTCAGTTAAAATAAAGGTTCAATTATGTGAGATGAAAGCACACATCATAAGTTTCTCAGAAACATTATGTCTAGTATTTTTGTGAAGATACTTCTCATTTCAACATGAGCCTCAAAGGGCTTACAAATATCCCTTTGCAGATTCTACAAAAAATCTGTTTCCAAACTGATCAATCAACAGAAAGATTCAACTCTGTGAGATGAAAGCACACATCACAAAGAAGTTTCTCAGAATGCTTCTGTCTCGTTTTATGTGAAGATATTTCCTATTTCACCACAGGTCTTAATGGGGTCACAAATATCCCTTTACAGATTCTGGAAAAAACTGTTTCCAAACTGCGGAATCAAAAGAAATGTTCAACCTGTGAGATGCATGCACACATCACAAAACGGTTTCTCAGAATGCTTCTGTCTTCTTTTATGTGAAGATATTTCCATTTTCACCATAGGCCTCAAATGGCTTCAAATATCCCTCTGCAAATTCTACAAAGAGACTGCTTCCAAACTGCTCAATCAAAAGAGAGATTCAACTCTGTGAGATGAATGCACACATCATAAAGAAGTTTCTCAGAAGCTTTTGTCTAGTTTTCGTTTGAAGATGATTCCTTTTTCACTGTAGGCCTCAAAGTGCTCCAAATAACCATTTGCAGATTCTTCAAAAAGACTGCTTCCAAACCACTCACTCCATAGAAATGTTCAACTATGTGAGATGACAGCACAAATCGCATAGAAGTTTCTCAGAAAGCTTCTGTTTAGTTTTTATGTGAAGATATTTTTTCCTTTTTCATCATAGGACTCAAATTGCCCAAACTATCCATTGGCAGATAGTTCCAAACGACTGTCTCCACACTGCTCAATCAAAAGAAAGGTTCAACTCTGTGAGATGAATGCACACATCACAAAGAAGGTTGTCAGAAAATTTCTGTCTATATTTTATATGAAGATATTTCCTTTTTCACCACAGGCATCATGGAGCTCCAAATATTCATTTGTAGATTCTACAAAAAGACTCTTTCCAAACTGCTCAATCAAAAGAATGGTTCAACACTGTGAGATGACAGCACACATCAAAAAGAAGTTTTTCAGAAAGCTTCCATCTAGTTTTTCTATGAAGATATTTCTTTTTTACCATAGGCCTCAAACTGCTCAGAATTATCACTTTGCAGATTGTACTAAAAGACTCTTTCCAAAAAGCTCCAACAAAAGAAAGGTTCAACTCTGTGAGATGAATGCACATATCACAAAGAAGTTTCTCAAAACCCATCTGTCTAGTATTTATGTGAAGATATTTCCTTTTCACAATAGGCCTCAATCCGCTCACATATAGCCCTGTCCAGAATCTACAAAAAGACTGTTCCCACATTGCTCAATCAACAGAAAGGTTCAAATCTGTGAGATGAATGCACACATGACAAGGAAGTTTCTCAGAAAGCTTCAGTCTAGTTTCTATGTGAAGATATTCCCTTTTTCAACATAGGCCTCAAATCGCTCCAAATATCAATTTGCAAGTTATACAAAAAGACCGTTTCCAAACTTCTCATTGAAAAGAAAGTTTCACCTCTTTCAGTTGAAAGCACACATCATGAAGAAGTTTCTCAGAATGCTTCGGTATAGTTTTTATGTGAAGCTGTTTCCTATTTCACCATAGGACTCAATGGGGTCACAAATATCCCTTTGCAGATTCTACAAAAAACAGTTTCCAAACTGCTCTATCAAAAGAAAGGTGCAACTCCGTGAGATGAATGCACACATCACAAAGAAGCTTTTCAGAATGCTTCTTTCTAGTTTTTATGTGAAGATATTTCCATTTTCAACATAGGCCTCAAAGCACTCACAAATATCCTACTGCAAATTTTACAAAGAGACTGTTTGCAAACTGCTCAATCAAAATAAAGATTCCACTCTGAGAGATGAATGCACGCACCACAAAGAAGTTTCTCATAAACATTCTGTCTACTTTTTATGTGAAGATATTGCCTGTTTCATCATAAGACTCGCTGGGCTCACAAATATCCGTTTGCAGATTCTACAAGAAGACTGTCTCCAAACTGCTCAATGAAAAGAAAGATTCAAGTCTGTGAGATGAAAGCACACATCCCAGTGAAGTTTCTCAGAAAGCTTCTGTCTAGTTTTGATGTGAAGATATTTCCTATTTCAACGTAGGCCTCAAAGCACCCCAAATATCCATTTGCAGATTCTACCAAAAGACTGTTTCCAAACTGCTCAATCAAAAGAAAGATTCAGCTGTTTGAGATGAAAGGACACAAAAATGTTTCTCAGAAAGTTTCTGTCTACTTTTTATGTGAAGATATTTTCTATTTCACCATAGGCCTCAATAGGCTCACAAATATCCCGTTGTAGATTCTACAAAAAGTCTGTTTCCAAACTGCTCAAGAAAAAGAAAGGTTCAACTCTGTGAGATGAATGCACACATCGCAAACAAGTTTCTCAGAGAGCTTCTGTCTAGTTTTTATATGAATATATTTCCTTTTTCACCATAGGCCTGAAAGCACTCCAAATATCCATTTGCAGATTCCACAAAAAGACTTTTTCCAAACTGCTCAATCGAAAGAAAGTTCTATCTCTGTGAGATGAATGCACACATCACAAAGAAGTTTCTCACAAATCTTCCCTTTCGTTTTTATGTGAAGATATCTCCTTTTTCACCATGGGCCTTAAAGTGCTCCAAATATCCATTTGCAGATTCTACAAAAGACTGTTTCCTAACTGCTCAATCAAAAGAATGGTTCAACACTTTGAGGTGAATGCACACATCACAAAGAAGTTTCTGAGAAATCTTCTGTCTGCTTTTTATGTGAAGACATTTTCTTTTTCACCATAGGCCTCAAATTGCTGCCAATATCCATTTACAGATTCTACAAAAAGACTCTTTCCAAATGGCTTAATGAAAAGAAAGTTTCAACTCTGTGAGGTGAATGCACACATCACAACGATGTTCCTCAGAAACCTTCCATTAATTTTTACGTGAAGATAGTTCCTTTTTCACCATAGGCCTCAAAGCGCTCCAAGTATCT
Organism: Homo sapiens; assembly: GCF_000001405.40. NCBI lineage: Eukaryota > Metazoa > Chordata > Mammalia > Primates > Hominidae > Homo > Homo sapiens. The sequence goes on along the minus strand of NC_000007.14, from coordinate 62,136,446 downwards.
ATTTGCAGATTCCACCAAAATACTTTTTCTAAACTGCTCAATCAAAAGAATGGTTCAACTCTGTGAGATGAATGTGCACATCACAAAGATGTTTCTCAGAAATCTTCTGTCTATTTTTTTATGTGAAGAAATTTCCTTTTTCACTATAGGCCTCAAAATGCTCCAAATGTCCATTTGAAGGTTCTACAAAAGACTGTTTCCAAACAGATCAAGCAAAAGGAAGGTTCAACTCTGTGAGATGAATGCACACATCACAAAGAAGTTACTCAGGAATCTTCTATTTAGTTTTTATGTGAAGATATTCCCTTTTTCACCATAGGCCTCAAAGTGCTCCAAATATTCTCCTGCAGATACTACAAAAACACTGTTTGCAAACTGCTCAGTCAAAAGAAATGTCAACTCTGTGAGAGGAATGCACACGTCACAAAGAAGTTTCTCAGAAAGATTCTGTCTAGTTTTTATGTGAAGATATTTCCTTTTTTACCATAGGCCACAAAGCGCTCCAAGTAGCCGTCTGCAGATTCCGCAAAAAGACTGTTTCCAAACTGCTCAATCAAAGGAAAGGGTGAACTCTGTGAGATGGAAGCTCTCTTCACAAAGAATTTTCTCAGAAATCTTCTGTATAGTTTTTATGTGAAGATATTTCCTTTTTCACCATAGGCCTCAAACTGCTCTGAAATATCCCGTTTCAGATTGTATAAAAAGACTCTTTCTAAACTACTCAATCAAAAGAGAGTTTCAACTATGTAAGATGAATGAACACATGACAAAGAAGTTTCTCAAAAAACGTCAGTCTAGTTTTTATGTGAAGATATTTCCTTTTTCACCATAGGCCTCACACCACTCACAAATATCCCTCTGCAGAAACTTCAAAAAGACTGCTTCCATGCTGCTCAATCAAAAGAAATTTTCAACTCTGTGAGATGAATGCAGACATCACAAAGAAGTTTCTGAGAAAGCTTCTGTCTAGTTTTTATGTGAAGATATTTCCTTTTTCACTATAGGCCTCAATGTGCTCCAAAAATCCATTTGCAGATTCTACAAGAAGATTCTTTCCAAACTTCTCTCTCAAAAGAAAGGTTCAACTTTGTGAAATGAAAGCACACATCAGAAATAAGTTTCTCAGAATGCTTCTGTATTGTTTTGATGTGAAGATATTTCCTATTTCATCATAAGCCTCAATAGGCTCAACAATATACTTTGCAGATTCCACAAAAAACTGTTTCCAAACTGCTCAATCAAAACAAAGTTTCAACTCTGGGAGATGAAAGAACACATCACAAAGAAGTTTCTCAGAATGCTTCTGTCTCGTTTTAATCTGAAGGTATTTCTTATTTCACCATGGGCCTCAAAGGGGTCAAAATTATCCCTTTGCAGATTCCACAAAAAACTGTTTCCAAACTGCTCAATCAAAAGAAAGCTTCAACTCTGTGAGATAAATGCACACATCACAAAGCAGTTCTTCAGAATGCTTCTGTCTAGTTTTTATGAGAAGATATTTCCATTTTCACCAGAGGCCTCAAACAGCTCACAAATATCCCTCTGAAAATTCCACAAAAAGACTGTTTCCAAACTGCTCAATCAAAAGAAAAGTTCAACTCTGTGAGCTGAAAGCAAACATCACCAAGAAGTTTCTCAGAAATCTTCTGTTTAGTTTTCATGTGAAGATATTTCCTTTTTCACCACAGGCCTCAAAGTGCTCAAAATACACTTTTGCAGATTCTACAAAAAGACTGTTTCAAAACTGCTCAATCAAAAGAAAGTTTCAACTGTGTTAGATGAAATCACACATCACAAATAAGTTTCTCAGAATGCCTCTATATAGTTTCTATTTGAAGACACTTCCTACCACCTAATAGGTCTCAATAGGCTCAACAATATACTTTGCAGATTCCACAAAAAACTGTTTCCAATCTGCTCAATCAAAAGAAAGGTTCAACTGTGTGAGATGAAACCACACATCACAAAGCAGTTTCTCAGCATGCTTCTCTCTAATTTTAATCTGGAGATATTTCCTATTTCAACATAGGCCTCAATGGGGTCACTAATATCCCTTTGCAGATTCCACAATAAACTGTTTCCAAGCTGCTCAGTTGAAAGAAAGGTTCAACTGTGTGACATGAATGTACACATCACAAAGCAGTTTCTCAGAATGTTTCTGTCTATTTTTTATGTGAAGATATATCATTTTCACCATAGGACTCAAACCGCTCACAAATATCTCTCTGCAGATTATAAAAAGACTGTTTCCAAAATGCTCAATCAAAAGACAAGTTCGACTCTGTGAGCTGAATGCACGCATCACAAAGAAGTTTCTCAGAAAGCTTCTGTCTAGTTTTCATGTGAAGATATTTCCATTTTCACCATAGGCCTCAAACAGCTCACAAATATCCTCTGCAAATTCTACAAAAAGACTGTTTCCAAACAGCTCAATCAAAAGAAAGTTTCAACTCCGTGAGATGAAAGCAAACATCACAAAGAAGTTTCTCAGAAATCTTCTGTTGTGTTTTTATGTGAAGATATTACCTTTTTCACCAGAGGCCTCAAAGTGCTCCAAATATCCATTTGCAGATTCTACAAAAAGACTGTTTCCCAACTGCTCAGTCAAAAGAAAGGTTCAACTATGTGAGATGAAATCACACATCACAAAGAACTTTCTCAGAAAACTTCTGTCTAGTTTTTATGTGAAGATATTTCCTATTTCACCACGTGCCTTAAACCTCTCAGAAATAGAACTTTGCAGATTCTACAAAAAGACTGTTTCCAAACTGCTCAATCCAAAGAAATGTTCAACTCTGTCAGATGAAAGCGCACATCACAAAGAAGTTTCTCAAAAAGCATCTGTCTAGTGTTTATGTGAATATATTTCCTTTTTCACCATAGGCCTCAAACCGCCCACAAATATCCCTCTGTGGAATCTACAAAAAGATTGTTTCCAAACTGCTCCATCAAAAAGAAAGGTTCAAATATTTGAGAAGAATGCACACAACACTAAGAGGTTTCTCAGAAAGTTTCTGTCCAGTTTTTATGTGATGATATTTCCTTTTTCACCAAACGCCTCAAACCACTCACAATTATCCCCCAGCATATTCCACAAAAACACTGTTTCCAAACTGCTTAATGAATAGAAAGGTTCAAATCTTTGAGATGAATGCACACTTCACAAAGAAGTTTCTCTAAATGCTTCTGTCTAGCTTTTATGAGATGATAATTCCCATTTTACAACAGTCCTCAATGGATCGCAAATATCCGTTTGCGGATTCTACAAAACAGTGATCCAAAACCACTCTATCAAAAGAGAGGTTCAACTCTGTGAGACGAATGCACACATTGCAAAGCAGTTTCTCAGAGTGCTTGTGTCTAGTTGTTATGTGAAGATATTTCCATTTTCACTATAGTCCTCAAAAGGCTCACAATTATCCCTCTGCAAATTCTACAAAAAGTCTGTTTCCAAACTGCTCAATCAAAAGAAAGGTTCAAATCTGTGAGATGAATGCACACATCACAAAACAGTTTCTCTGAAAGCTTCTGTGTAGTTTTTATGTGAAGATATTTCCTTTATCACCATAGGCCTCAAACTGCTCACAAATATACTTCTGAAGAATCTACAAAAAGTCTGCTTCCTAACCTCTCAATCAAAAGAATCGTTCAACTCTGTGAGATGAATGCACACATCACAAAGAAGTTTCTCAGAAAACTTCAGTCTAGTTTTTATGTGAAGATATTTCCTTTTTTACTGTAGGCACAAAAGCGCTCCAAATATCCTTTTGCAGATTCCATAAAAAGGCTGTTTCCAAACTGATCAATCCAAAGAAATGGTCAACTCCATTAGATGAATGCACGCATCACAAAGAAGTTCCTCAGAAAACTGCTGTCTAGTTTTTATGTGAAGATATTTCCTTTTTCACCATAGGCTTCAAAACGCTCCAAATATCCATTTGCAGATTCTACAAAAATTCTGTTTCCAAACTGATCAATCAAAAGAAAAGTTCAACTCTGTGAGATGAAAGCACACATCACAAAGAGTTTTGTCAAAAACTTCTGTCTAGTTTTTATGAGAAGATATTCGTTTTTCACCATAGGCCTCAAATCGCTCAGAAATATCCCTTTTCATATTGTAGAAAAACACTGTTTCCAAATTCCTCAATCAAAAGAAAGGTTCACCTCTGTGAGATGAATGCACACATCACAAAGAAGTTTCTCAAAAAGCATCTGTCTAGTTTTCATGCGAAGATATTTCCTATTTCTCCATGGGCCTCAAACCACACAGAAATATTGTTTTGCAGATTGTACTAAAAGACTGTTTCCAAACTGCTCAATCTAAAGAAAGGTTCAACTCTGTGAGATGAACGCACACATCACAAAGAAGTTTCTCAAAAACCATCTGTCTAGTTTTAATGTGAAGATATTCCCTATTTCACCATAGGCCTCTAACTGCTCACAAATATCACTCTGCAGAATCTACAAAAGAATGTTTCCATAGTGCTCAATCAAAAGAAAGTTTTATCTCTGTGAGATGAAAGCACACATCACAAAGAAGTTTCTCAGAAAGTTTCTGTCTAGTTTTTATGTGAAGATATTTCCTATTTCCCCATAGGCCTCAATGGGCTCACAAATATCCCTTTGCCGATTCTATAAAACGACTGTTTCCATACTGTTCAATCAAAAGAAAGTTTCAGCTGTGTGAGATGAAGGTAGAAGTCAAAAAGCAGTTTCTCAGAATGTTTCTTTCTACTTTTTATGTGAAGATATTTCCTGTTTTACCATAGGCCTCAAACCGCTCAGAAATATCCATCTGCAGAATCTAAAAAAAGACTGATTCCAAACTGTTCAATTAAAAGAAAAGTTCAACTCTGTGAGATGAATGCAAACATCACAAAGAAGTTTCTCAGAAAGCTTCAGTCTAGTGTTTATATGAAGATGTTTCCTTTTTCACCATAGGCCTCAATGCACCCCAGATATCCATTTGCAGTTCTACAAAAAGATTGTTTCCAAACTTATCTATCAAAAGAAAGGTTCAAGTCTGTGAGACTAAAGCACGCATCACAAAGATGTTTCTCCCAATGCTTATGTCTAGTTTTTATTTGAAGATATTTCATATTTGAAGATATTTCCTATCATAGGCCTCAATGGGTTCACAAATATCCCTTTGTAGATTCTACAAAGACCTGTTTACAAACTGCTGAAACAAAAGAAAGTTTCAGCTTTGTGAGATGAATGCACACGTCACAAAGCAGTTTCTTAGAATCCTTCTGTCTAATTTTTATGTGAAGATATTTCCTATTTCACTATAGGCCTCAAAGCGCTCCAAATATACACTCGCAGATTCTACAAAAAGACTGTTTCCAAACTGCTCAATCAAAAGAAATGTTCGAATCTGTGAGATGAAAGCACAAATCACAAAGAATTTTCTCAGAATGCTTCTTTCTAGTTTTTATGTCCAGATATTTCCTTTTTTACCATAGGCCTCAATGGACTCAAAAATATCCCTTGGCAGATTCCACAAAGAACTGTGTCCAGACTGCTCAATCAAAGGAAAGATTCAACTCTGGGAGATGAATGCACACATAACAAAGAAGTTTCTCAGAATACTTCTGTCTAATTTTCATGTGAAGGTGTTTCTTTTTCACTATAGACCTCAAATTGCTCAGAAATATCCCTTTGCAGATTGTACAAAAAGACTGTTTCCAAACTGTTCAATCAAAAGAAAGGCTCAACTCTGTGAGATGAATGCACGCATCACAAAGAAGTTTCTCAGAAACCTTCAGTCTAGTTTTTATGTGAATGTATTTCCTTTTTCACCAGAGGCGTCAAAGCACTCCAAATATCCAATTGCAGATTCTACAAAAAGACTGTTTCCAAACTGCTCAATCAAAGGAAAGATTCAACTCTGTGAGATGAATGCACACATCCCAACGAAGTTTCTCAGAAAGCTTCTGTATAGTTTTTATGTGAAGATATTTCCTATTTCACCATAGGATGCAATAGGGTCACAAATATCCCTTTGCAGATTCCAGAAAAAACTGTTTCCGAACTGTTCAATCAAAATAAAGTTTCAACTCTGTGAGATGAATGCACTCATCACAAAGCAGCTTCTTAGAATGCTTCTGTCTAGTTTTTATGTGAAGACATTTCCATTTTCACCACAGGCCTCAAACTGCTCAAAAATATTCCTCTGCAGATTATGAAAAAAGACTGTTTATAAGCTGCTCAATAAAAACAAAGTTTCAACTCTGTAAGATGAATGCACACATCATACAGAACTTTCTAGAAAGCATCTGCCTAGTTTTTAAATGAAGATAATTTCATATTCACCATAGGCCTCAAACCGCTCACAAATATCCCTCTGCAGAATCTACAAAAGACTGTTTCCAAACTGCTCAATCAAAAGAAAGTTTCAACTGTTTGAGGTGAAAGTACACATCACAAAGCAGTTTCCCAAAAAGTTTCTGTCTAGTTTTTATGTGAAGATATTTCCTTTTTCACCATATGCCTCAAAGTGCTTCAAACATCCATTTGTGTATTCTACACAAACACTGTTTCCAAACTTCTCAATTAAAAGAAATGCTCAACTCTGTGAGATGAAAGCACACATCACAAAGAAGTTTCTCAGAATGCTTCTGTCTAGTTTTTATGTGAAGATATTTCTTATTTCACCAGAGGCCTCAAAGGGGTCACAAATATCCGTTTGCAAATTCTACAATAATTGTTTCTAAACTGCTCAATCAAAAGAAAGCTTGAACTCTGTGAGATGCATGTGCACATCACAAAGAAGTTTCTCAAAAAGCCTCTGTCTAGTTTTTATGTTAAGATATTTCCTTTTTCAACATAGGCCTCAAACTGCTCACAAATGTCCCACTGTATATTCTACAAAAAGACTGCCTCTAATCTTCTCAATCAAAAGGAAGGTTCAACTCTGTGAGATGAAACATACATCGCAAAGCAGTTTCTTAGAGTGTTTCTGTCTAGTTTTTATGTGAATATATTTCTTATTTCACTGTAGGCCTTAAAGGCTCACAGATATCCCTTTGCAGATTCCATAAAAAACTGTTTCCAAACTGCTCATTTCAATGAAAAGTTCAACTCTGTGTGATGAATGCACTCATCATAAAAAACATTCTCAGAAAGCTTCTGTCTAATTTTTATGTGAAGATATTTCCTTTTTCACCATGCACCTGAAAGTGCTCCAAATACCCCTTGGAAGTTTCTACAAAAAGACTGTCTCCAAACTGCTCTATCGAAAGAAAAGTTCAAGCCTGTGAGATGAAAGCACACGTCACAAAGAAGTTTCTCAGAAATCTAATGTCTAGTTTTTATGTGAAGATATTTCTTTTTTCACCATAGGCATTGAAGGGCTCAAAAATATCCCTTTGTAGATTCTACAAAAAGACTGTTTCCAAACTGCTCAATCAAAATAAAGGTTCAAATCAGTGAGATGAAAGAACACATCACCAAGAATTTTCTCAGAAAGCTTCTGTCTAGTTTCTATGTGATGATATTTCCTTTTCCACCATGGGACTCAAAGGGCTCACAAATATCCTCTTGCAGATTCTACAAAAAGACTGTTTCCAAACTGCTCAATCGAAGGAAAGGTTCAATTCTGTGAGATGAAAGCACACGTCACAAAGAACTTTCTCAGAAATCTCCTGTCTAGTTTTTATGTGAAGACATTTCCTTTTCCACCATAGTCCTCAAAGCGCTCCAAATATCACTTGGCAGATTCTACAAAAAGTGTGATTCGAAACTCCTCAATCAAAATAAGGGTTCAACTCCTTGAGATGAGTGCACACATCACAAAGATGTTTCCAAAAAGCTTCTGTCTATTTTTTATGTGAAGATATTTCCTTTTTCACCGTAGGCCTCAAAGGGCTCCAAATATCTCTCTGCAGATCTACAAAAAGACTGTATTCAAACTGCTCAATCAAAGGAAATGTTCAAATCTGTTGAGATGAATGCACACATCACAAACATGTTTCTCAGAATGATTTTGTCTAGTTTTTCTATGAAGATATTTCCTTTTTCACTATAGGCCTCAAAGTGCTCACAAGGATCCCTTTGCAGACTCTACAGTAGATGGTTTCAAAGCTGATCAGTCCAAAGAAAGGTTCTAATCTGTGGCATGAATGCACACATCACAAAGAAGTTTCTCAGAAATGTTCTGTCTGCTTTTGATTCGAAGATATTTCCTTTGTCACCATAGGCCTCAAACACTCACAAATATATCCCTTTGCAGATTCTACAAAAGACAATTTCAAAACTGCTCAATCAAAAGAAAGGTTCTAATCTGTGACATGAATGCACAAATCCAAAGAACTTTCTCAGAAAGCTTCTGTCTGTTTTTTTGTTGAAGATATTTACTTTTTCAGCATAGGCCTCAATGCGCTCCAAATGTTCCTTCACAGATTATACAAAAAGACTGTTTCAAAACTGCTCAATTAAAAGAAACGTTCAACTGTGTGAAATGAATGCACATATCACAGAGAAGTTTCACAAAAAGCTTCTGTCTAGTTTTTATTTGGAGATATTTCCTTTTTCAGCACAGGCTTCAAACCACTCAGAAATATCCCTTGGCAGATCATATGAAAAGACTGTTTCCAAACTGCTCATTCAAAAACAGGTTCAACTCTGTGAGATGAATGCTCACATCACAAAGAAGTTTCTCAGAATGCTTCTTACTAGTTTTTATGTGAAGCTATTGCCTTTTTCAACATAGACCTCAAAGAGTTCACAAATATTCCTTTACAGATACTACAAAAAGACTGTTTCCTAACTGCTCAAAGGAAATATTCAACTCTGTGAGATGAAAGCACACATCTCAAAGAAATTTCTCAGAAATCTTCTGTCTAGTTTTTATTTGAAGATATTTCCTTTCACACCACAGTCCTCAAAGTTCTCCAAGTATCCCTTTGCAGATCCTACAAAAAAACTGTTTCCAAACTGCTCAATCAAAGAAAGGTTCAACCCTGTGAGATGAAAGCAAACATTAGAAAGGAGTTTCTCAGAAAGCTTCTGTCTTGTTTCTATGTGAAGATATTTCCTATTTCACCATGGGCCTCAAAGGACTCACAAATATCCCTTTGCAGATACTACAAAAAGACTGTTTCCAAACTGCACAATCAAAAGAAAGTTTCACCTCTGTGAGATGAAAGCACATATCACAAAGATGTTTCTCAGAAAGCTTCTGCCTAGTTTTATTTGAAGATATTTCCTTTTTCACCCTAGGCCTCAAACCGCTCATGTATATCCCATTGGAGATTCTACAAAACCAGTATATCCAAACTTATCATTCAATACAAAGGTTCAACTCTATGATATGAAAGCCCACATCACAAAGTAGTTTCTCAGAAAGCTTCTGTCTGGATTTTATATGAATATATTTCCTTTTTCACCATAGGCCTCAAAGTGATCACAAATATCCCATTGCAGATTCTACAAAAAGACTTTTTCCAAGCAGACCAATCAAAAGAAAGTGTCAATTCTATGAGATGAATGCACGCATCACAAAGAAGTTTCTCAGAAAAATTCTGTCTCGTTTTTACATGAAGATATTTCCTTTTTCATCATAGGCATCAAAGCGATCACAAATATCCATTTCAGATTCAACAAAGACTTTTTTTACAATCTCCAAAGGGTTATTTCTGAGCAGTTTGAAGCCTATGGTGAAAAAGTAATATCTTCACATAAAAACAATACAGAAGCTTTCTGACAAACTTCTGTGTGATGTGTGCTTTCAACTCACAGAGTTGAACCTTTCTTTTGATTGAGCAGTTAGGAAACAGTTTTTGGTAGAATATGCATTGGATATTTGGAGAGCTTTGAGACCTATGGTGAAAAAGGAAATATCTTCACATAAAAACTAGACAGAAACTTTCTGAGAAACTTCTCTGTGATGTGTGCATTCATCTCAAAGTGTTGAAACTTTCTTTTGATTGAGGACTTTGGAAACAGTCTTTTGTAGAATCTGCAGAGGGATATATGTGAGCCCATTGAGGCCTATGGTTAAATAGGAAATATCTTCACATAAGAACTACAAAGAAGCTTTCTGAGAAACTTCTTCATGATGTGTGATTACACCTTATAGGGTTAAACTTTTCTTTTGATTGAGCAGATTGGAAACGGTCTTTTTTTATAATGTGGAGAGGGATATTTTTGAGCGGTTCGAGGCCTGTGGTGAAAAAGGAAATATCTTCAAATAAAAACTAGACAGAGGCATTCTGAGAAACTTCTTTGTGAGGTGTGCATTCATCTCACAGAGTTTAACTTTTCATTTGATTGAGCAGTTTGGAAAAACTCTTTTTGTAGTATCTTCAAATGGATATTTGGAGTGCTTTGAGGCCTATGGTGAAAAAGGAAATATCTTCACATGAAAATTAGACAGAAGCATTCTGAGAAGCTTATTTGTGATGTGTGCTTTCATCTCACAGAGTTGGGCCTTTCTTTTCATTGAGCAGTTTGGAAACAGTCTTTTTGTAGAATCTGCAAATGGATATTTGCATCGCTTTGAGGCCTATGGTGAAAAAGGAAATATCTTCACATAAAACCTAGACAGAAACTTTCTGGGAAACTGCTTTGTGATGTGTGCTTTCATCTCACTGAGTTAAACCTTTCTTTTGATTGAGTAGTTTTGAAACAGACCTTTTGTTGTTTCTGCAGAGGGATATTTTTGAGTAGCTTGAGTCCTGTGGGGAAAAAGGAAATATATTCACATAAAAACTAGACAGACACTTTTTGACAAACTTCTTTGTGATGTGTGCATTCATCTCCGAGAGTTGAACCTTTCTTTTGATTTAGCAGTTTGGAAACAGTCTTTTTTTAGATTCTGCAGAGGGGTATTTTTTTTGTTTGTTTGTTTGTTTCTTGTTTCTTTTTTTTTATTATACTTTAAGTTTTAGGGTACATGTGCACATTGTGCAGGTTAGTTACATATGTATACATGTGCCATGCTGGTGCGCTGCACCCACTAACTCGTCATCTAGCATTAGGTATATCTTCCAATGCTATCCCTCCCCCCTCCCCCCCACCACAGTCCCAAGAGTGTGATATTCCCCTTCCTGTGTCCATGTGATCTCATTGTTCAAAGGGCTAATATCCAGAATCTACAATGAACTCAAACAAATTTACAAGAAAAAAACAAACAACCCCATCAAAAAGTGGGCGAAGGACATGAACAGACACCTCTCAAAAGAAGACATTTATGCAGCCAAAAAACACATGAAAAAATGCTCATCATCACTAGCCATCAGAGAAATGCAAATCAAAACCACGATGAGATACCATCTCACACCAGTTAGAATGGCAATCATTAAAAAGTCAGGAAACAACAGGTGCTGGAGAGGATGGGGAGAAATAGGAACACTTTTACACTGTTGGTGTAGAGGGGTATTTTTAAGTGGTTTGAGGCCTATGGTGAAAAATAAATATTTTCACATAAAAACTAGACAGAAGCATTATGAGAAAATTCTTTGTGATGTGTGCATTCATCTCACAGAGTTGAAACGTTCTTTGGATTGAACATTTTAGTAACAGTCTTTTTTATAATCTGCAGTGGGATATTTGTGAGCAGTTTGAGGCCTATGGTGAAAATGGAAATATTTTCACATAAAAACTAGACAGAAGCATTATGAGAAACTGCTTTCTGACGTGTGCATTCATCTCACACAGTTGATCCTTTCTTTTGATTAAGCAGTTTGGAAACAGTGTTTTCTGGAATCTGCAAAGGGATATTTGTGAGTCCTTTGAGGATTATGATGAAATGGGAAATATCTTCCCATAGAAACTAGACAGAAGCATTCTGAGAAACTCCTTTGTGATGTGTGCTTTCATTTCACAGAGTTGAACCTTTCTTTTGATGGAGAAATTTGGAAACAGTCTTTTTGTATAATCTGCAAATGGATAATTGGAGTGTTTTTAGGCCTATGGTGAAAAAGGAAATATCTTCACATAAAAACTAGACAGAAGCTTTCTGAGAAACTTCTTTGGATGTGTGCATTTATCTCAAAGAGTTGAACCTTTCTTTTGATTGAGCAATTTGGAATCAGTCTTTTTGTAGTTTCCGCATAGGGATATTTTTCTGTGGTTTGAGACCTATGGTGAAAATTGAAAAATCTGCACATAAAAACTATACAGAAGTTTTCTGATAAAATTGTTTGTGATGCATGCCTTTATCTCACAGAATTACACCTTTCTTTTGATTGAGCAATTTGGAAACAGTCTTTTTATAGAGTCTGCAAATGGATATTTGGAGTGCTTTGAGGCCTATGGTGAAAAAGGAAATATTTTCACATAAAAAATAGACAGAAGCTTTCTGAGAAACTTATTTGTGATGTTTGCATTCATCTCACAGAGTTGAACCTTTCTTTTAATTGAACAGTTTGGAATCAGTCTTTTTGTAGATTATGCAGATGGATGTTTCTGAGCGGTATGAGGCCTATGGTGAAACAGGAAATATGTTCACATAAAAAGTAGAGTGACGCTTTTTGGGAAATATCTTTTTGATGTGTGCATTCATCTCACAGAGTTGCAAAATCTACAATGGGATATTTCTGAGCATTTTGAGGCTTATGGTGAAAAAGAAATAGCTTCACATAAAAACTAGACAGAAGCATTCTGAGAAACTTCTTTATGATGTTTGCATTCATATCACACTGTTGAAATTTGTTTGGATTGAGCAGTTTACAAACAGTATTTTTGGAGAACGTGCAAATGTATATTTGTGAGCCCATTGAGGCCTGTGGTGAAATAGGAAATATCTTCACATAAGAACTAGTCAGAAGCTTTCTGAGAAACTTCTTTGTGCTGTGTGCTTTCATCTCACAGAGTTGAACCTTTCTTTCAATTGAGCATTTTGGAAACTCTTTTCTTATAACCTGCAGTGAGATATTGGTGAGCAGTATGACATCTATGGTGAAAATTGAAATATCTTCACATAAAAACTAGAAAGAAACATTCTGAGAAACTTATTTGTGATGTGTGCATTCATCTCACAAAGTTGAAACTTTCTTTTGATTGAGCAATTTGGAAACAGTCTTATGGTACAATCTACAGAGGCATATTTCTGAGCGGTTTGAGACCCATGTTGTAATAGGAAATATCTACACATAAAAACTAGACAGATGCTTTTTGAGAAACGCCTTTGTGATGTGTGCATTCACCGCACAGAGTTGAACCTTTCTTTTGATTGAGAAGTTTGGAAACAGTCTTTTTGTACAATCTGAAAAGGGATATTTCAGAGTGGTGTGAGGGCTATGGTGAAAAACGATCTATCTTCACATAAAAAGTAGACAGAAGTTTTCTCACAAAATTATTTGTGATATGTGCTTTCATCTCACAGATTTGAGCCTTACTTTTTATTGAGGAGTTTGGAAACGGTCTTTTTGTAGAATATGCAAATGGACATTTAGAGCATTTTGAGACCTATGGTGAAAAAGGAAATATCTTCATATAAAAACTTGACAAAATCTTTCGGAGAAACCACTTTTTGATGTGTCTATTCATCTCACACAGTTGAATCCTTTTGATTTAGCAGTTTTGAAACTGTCTGTCTGTAGAATCTGCAAAGGCATATTTGGAGTCCTTTGAGGGCTAAGGTGAATAAGGAAATATCTTCACATAAAAACTAGAAAGAAGCTTTCTGAGAAACTTCTTTGTGATGTGTGCATTCAGTGCACAGTGTTGAACTTTTCTTTTGATTGAGCAGTTTGGAAACAGTATTTTTGTGGAATCTGCAACAGGACATTTGGTGCACTTTGAGGCCTAAGGTGAAGAATGAAATTTCTTCACATAAAAACTAGACAGAAGCATTCTGAGAAACTTCTTTGTGATGTGTGCATTCATCTCACAGATGTGAACATTTCTTTTGATTGACCTGTTTGGAAACAGTCTTTTTGTAGAATCTGCAAAGGGATATTCGTGAGTGCTTTTCAGCCTATGGTGAAAAAGGAAATACCTTCACATAAAAACTAGACAGAAGTTTTCTGATAAACTTCTTTGTGATATGGGCATTCATCTAACAGAGTTGAACCTGTATTTTGATTGAGCTGTTTGAAGTCTTTTTGTAAAATCTGTAAAGGGATATTTGTGAGCAGTTTTAGGCCTGTGGTGAGAAAGGAAGTGTTTTCACATAAACACTAGACAAAAGTTTTCAGAGACACTTCTTTGGTATGTGTGCATTCATCTCAAAGAGTTGAACCTTCCTTTCAGTTGAGCAGTTAGGAGACAGTCTTTTTGTAGAATCTGCAAAGAGATATTTGGAGCACTTTCAGGCCGATGGTGAAAAAGGAAATATCTTCACATAAAAACAAAACTGCAGCTTTCTGAGAAACTTCTTTGTGACGTGTTCTTTCATCTCACCGAGTTGAACCATTCTTTTCATTGATAAGTTTAGAAACTGTCTTTTTGTAGAATCCATAAATGGATATTTGGAGCACTTTTAATACCACGGTGAAAAATGAAATATCTTTACATAAAAACTAGACAGAAGCTTTCTGAGAAACTTCTTTGTGATGTGGGCTTTCATTTTACAGATTTGAACATTTCTTTTCATTCAGCAGTTTGGAGACTGTCTTTTTGTAGAATCTGCAAACGGATATTTAGAGCACTTTGAGGCCTATGGTGAAAAAGGTAATATCTTCTCTTAAAAATTTGACAGAAGCTTTCGAAGAAACTTCTTTGTGATGTGTGCATTCATCTCACAGCATTGAAACTTTCTTTTAACTGAGCAGTTTGGAAACAGTCCTTTTGTAGAAACTGCAATGGGATGTTTTTGGGCCCTTTGTGGCCAATGGTGAAAAAGGAAATATCTTCACATAAAAATTAGACAGAAGCTCTCTGAGAAACTTCTTTGTGATGTTTGCTTTCATCTTCCAGAGTTGAACATTTCTTTTCATTGAGCACTTTGGAAACAGTGTTTTTGTACAGTCTGCAGAGGGATATTTGGAGTGTATTGAGGCATATGGTGAATAAAAAGTATCTTCAAATAAAAACTAGACAGAAGGTTTCTGAGAAACTTCATTGTGATGTTTGCATTCATCTCACAGAGTTCAACCTTTCTTTTCATAGCACAGTTTGGAGACAGTCTTTTTGTAGAATCTGCAAATGGATACTTGGAGCACTTTGTGGCATATAGTGAAAAGGGAAATACCTTCACATAAATACTAGACAGAAGCTTTCTGAGAAAGTTCTTTGTAATGTGCATTCACCTCACAGAGTTGAACCTTTCTTTTCCTTGAGCAGTTTGGAAACAGTCTTTTTGTACAATCTGCAAAGGGATATTTGTGAGCGTTTTGGGGCCTATGTTGAAAAAGGAAATACCTTCACATAAAAAGAAGAGAGAAGCATTCTGAGAAACTTCTTTGTGATGTGTGCATTCATGTCACAGCTTCGAACCTTTCTTTTTATTGAGCACTTTGGAAACAGTCTTTTGTAGAATCTGCAATGGGATACTTTTGAGCCGTTTGGGGCTTATGGTAAAAAATGAATTATCTTCACATAAAAACTAGACAGAAGTTTTGTGAGAAACTTCTTTGTGATGTGTGCTTTCATCTCACAGACTTGAACCTTTTCTTTGATTAAGCAGTTTGGAAACAGTCTTTTTGTAGAATCTGCCAAGGAATATTTGTAGTGCTTTGAGGCATATGGTGAAAAATGAAATATCTGCACATAAAAACTAGACAGAAGCTTGCTGAGAAACTTCTTTGTGATGTGTGCTTTCATCTCACAGAGTTCAACCTTTCTTTTCATTGAGCAGTTTGGACACAGTCTTTTTGTAGAATCTGCAAATGGATATTTGGAGTGCTTCATGGCCTATGGTGAAAAAGGAAATATCTTCACCTAAAAACTAGTCAGAAGATTTTGGAGAAACTTCTTTGTGTTGTGTGCATTTATATCATGGAGTTGAACCTTTATTTTCATTTATTACTTCGGAAACAGTCTTTTTGCAGAATCTGCAAAGTGATATTTGGAGCAGTTCTGGGCATATGGTGAATAAGGAAATATCTTCACTTAAAAACTAGACAGAAGCTTTCTGAGAAACCTCTTTGTGATGTTTGAATTCATCTAACAGAGTTGAACCATTCTTTAGATTGAGCTGTTTGGAGACAGTGCTTTTGTAGAGCCTACAAAGGGATATTTGAGAGCTTTGGGGCCTGTGGTGAAGAAGGAAATATCTTCACATGAATACTAGACAGAAGCTTTCTGAGAAACTTCTTTGTGATGTGTGCATTCATCTCACAGAGTTCAACATTTCTTTTCATTGAGCAGTTTGGAAGCAGTCTTTCTGTAGAATCTGCAAATGGATATTTGGTGCACTTTGAGGCCTATAGTGAAAAAGGAAATATCTTCACATAAAAACTAGACAAAAACTTTCTCAGAAACTTCTTTGTTATGTGCATTCATCTCACATAGTTGAACCTTTCTTTTCATTGAGCAGTTTGGAAACAGTCTTTTGATAGAATCTCCAAGGGGATATTTGGAGCACTTTGAGGCCTATGGTGAATAAGGAAAATATTTACATAAAAGCTAGACAGAAGCTTTCTGGGAAACCTCTGTTTGATGTGGGCTTTCATCTGACAGATTTGAACCTTTCTTTTGATTGAGCAGTCTGGAAACAGTCTTTTGTAGAATCTGAAAATGGATGTTTTGAGTGCATTGTTTCCTGTAGTAGAAAAGAAAATATCTTCACATAACAACTAGACAGAAGCCTTTTGAGAAACTTCTTTGTGATGTGCGCATTCATCTTACAGAGTTGAACCTTTCTTTTGATTGAGCAGTTTGGAAACAGTCCTTTTGTAGAATCTACAAAGAGATATTTGTGAGCCCTTTGAGGTCTATGGTGAAAAAGGAAATATCTTCACATAAAAACTAGACAGAAGCTTTCTGAGAAACTTCTTTGTAATGTGTGATTTCATCTCACAGTGTTGAAATTTTCCTTTTATTGATCAGTTTAGAAATCTTCTTTTTGTAGTATCTGCAAAGTGATATTTGGAGCGCTTTGGTGCCTGTGGTGAATAGGGAAATATCTTCACATAAAAAATAGAGAGAAGTTTTCTGAGAAACTTCTTTGTGATGTTTGCATTCATCTCACGGAGTTGAAGCTTTCTTTTCATTGAGCAGTTTGCAAACAGTCTTTCTGTAGTATCTGCAAATGGATATTTGTGAGCGGTATGGAGCCTTTGTTGAAAAAGGAAATATCTTCACATAACAACACAGAAACTTTCTGATAAACTTCTTTGTGATGTGTGCATTCATCTCACAGAGTTGAAACTTTCTTCTGATTGAGCATTTTGGAAACAGTCTTTTTGTAGGATCTGCAAAGTGATACTTGTGAGCCCTTTGAGGCCTATGGTGAAAATGGAAATGTCTTCACATAAAGACTAGACAGGAGTGTTCTGAGAAACTTCTTTGTGATGTGTGTTTTCATCTCACAGAATTGAAACTTTCTTTTGGTTTATCAGTTTGGAAACAGTCTTTCTGTAGAATCTGCAAAGTGTTACTTGGAGCCCTTTGAGGCCTATTTTGAAAAAGGAAATATCTTCACATAAAAACTAGACAGAAGCTTTCTGAGAAACTTCTTTGTGATGTGTGCATTCATTTCACAGAGTTGAACCTTTCTTTTGATTGAGCAGTGTGGAAACAGTCTTTTTATAGAATCTGCAAATGGATATTTGTGATCCCTTTGAGGCCTGTGGTGAAAAAGGACATATCTTCACATAAAAACTAGACAGAAGGGTTTTGAGAAACTTCTTTGTGATGTGTGCATTCATCACACAGAGTTGAACTTTTACATTGATTGCGTAGTTTGGAAACAGTCTTTTTGTAGAATCTGGCAAAGGATATGTAGAATGCTTTGAGGCATATGGTGAAAAACGAAATATCTTCCTATAAAAACTAGACAGAAGCTTTCTGAGAAACTTCTTTGTGAAGTGTGCATCCATCTGACACAGTTCCACCTTACTTTTCATTTGGCAGTTTGGAAACAGTCTTTTTGTAGGATCCCCAAAGGGATATTTTGAGTGCTTTGAGGCCTATGTTAAATAAGGAAAATATTCACATAAAAACTAGACAGAAACTTACTGAGAAACTTCCTTGTGATGTGGGCTTTCATCTCACAGAGTTGAACCTTTGTTTTGATTGGGCAGTTTGGAAACAGTCCTTTGTGGAATCTGCAAATGGATATTTGGAGCGCTTTGAAGCCCAAAGTGAAAAAGGAAATAGCTCAACATAAAAACTAGACAGAAGCTTTGTGAGAAACTGGTTTGTGATGTGTGCTTTCATCTCACAGAGTTGAAACTTCCTTTTGGTTGATCAGTTTTGAAACAGTGTTTTTGTAGTATCTGCAAAGGGATACTTGGAGCTCTTTGAGGCCTGTGGTGAAAAAGGAAACATCTTCAAATAAAAACTAGACAGAAACTTTTGACTTGGAAGCTACCTAAATGTCCAACAATGATAGACTGGATTAAGAAAATGTGGCACATATAACCCATGGAAAACTATGTAGCCATAAAAAATGATAAGTTCATGTCCTTTGTAGGGAGATGGATGAAGCTGGAAACCATCATTCTCATCAAACTATCTCAAGGACAGAAAATCAAACACCGCATGTTGTCACTCATAGGTGGGAATTGAACAACGAGAGCACAAGGACACAGGAAAGGAAACATCACAGGGATGGGGGATGGATAACATTAGGAGATATAACTAATACTAAATGACGAGTTAATGGGTGCAGCTCACCAATATGACACATGTATACATATGTAACAAACCTGCACATTGTGCCCATGTACCCTACAATTTAAAGTAAAATAATAAATAAAATTAAAAAAACAAGAGAAACTTTTTTGTGATGAATGCATTCATCTCACAGAGTTGAACCTTTCTATTGATTGAGAAGCTTGGAAACTGTCTTTTGTAGAATCTGCCAATGGATATATGTAGTGCTTTGAGGCATATGGTGAAAAATGAGGAATCTTCACATAAAAACTAAACAGAAGATTTCTGAGAAACTTCTTTGTGATATGTGCATTCATCTCACAGAGTTCAACCTTTCTTTTCATTGAGCAGTTTAGAAATGATCTTTTTGTGGAATCTCCAAAGGGATATTTGGAGCACCTTGAGGCCTATGTTGAATAAAGAAAATATTCAGATAAAATTTAGACAGAAGCTTTCTGAGGAACTTCTTTATGATAGGTGCATTCATCTCAAGAATTGAAACTTTCTATTGATTGAGCAGTTTGTAAACAGTCTTTTGCAGAATCTTCCAAGGGATATATGTAGCGCTTTGAGGCATATGGTGAAAAAAGAAGAATCTTCACATTAAAACTAGACATAATATTTCTGAGAAACTTCTTTGTGATGTGTATATTTATCTCATAGAGTTCAAACTTTGTTTTCATTGAGCAGTTTGGAAATGGTCTTTTTGTGGAATCTCCAAAGGGATATTTGCAGCACTTTGAGGCCTATGTTGAATAAGGAAAATATTCGGATAAAAACCAGACAGATTTCTGAGAAACTTCTTTGTGATGTGGGCTTTCATCTAATAGAGTTAAAACTTTCTTTTGATAGAGCAGTTTGGAAACAGTCTTTTTTGTAGAATCTGTCAAGGGATATTTGGAGCACATTGAGGCCTATGGTGGAAAAGGAAATATCTTCACATAAAAACTACACAGAGTTCTTCTGAGAAACTTCTTTGTGATGTGTGCATTCATCTCACAGAGTTGAGGGTTTCTTTTGAAGGAGCAGTTTAGAGACAGTCCATTTATAGAATCTGCAAAGGGATATTTGTGAGCCGTTTGTGGAATATGGTGAAAAGGGAATTATCTTCATAAAAAAAGTAGACAGAAGGTTTCTGAGAAATTTCTTTGTTATGTGTGCATTCATCTCACAGAGTTGAACATTTCTACAGATTAAGTCTTTTGGAAACTGTCTTTTTGTTGAATGTGGCCTGGGATATGTGTAGCACTTTGAGGTGTATGGTGAAAAACTAAATATCTTCCCATAAAAACTAGACAGAATCTTTCTGAGATACTTCTTTTTGATGAGTGTACTCATCTCACAGAGTTGAACCTTTCTTTTGATTGAGCAGTTTGGGAACAGTCTTTTTGTAGGATATCCAAAGGGATATTTTGAGCGCTTTGAGGCCTATGGTGAATAAGGAAAATATTCACATAAAAACTAGACAGAAGCTTTCTGAGAAACTTCTTTGGGATGTGGACTTTCATCTCATAGAGTTGAACCTTACTTTTGATTGGACAATTTTGAGACAGTCTTTTTGTAAAACCTGCAAGGGGACATTGGCAGTGCTTTGGGGTCTGTGGTTAATAAGGAAATACCTTCACATAAAAAGTAGAGAGAAGTTTTCCAAGAAACTTATTTGTTATGTGTGCATTCATCTCACAAAGTGAAGCTTTCTTTTGATTGAGCAGCTTGGACACAGTCTTCTTTTTGTAGAATCTTCAAAGGGATATTTGTGAGCAGTTTGGGGAATATGGTGAAAAGGGAAATACCTTCACATAAAGAATAGACAGAAGCATTCTGAGAAACTACATTGTGATGTTTGCATTCATCTCACAGAGTTGAACGTTTCTTTTGATTGAGCAGTTTGGATGCAGTCGTTTTGTAGAATCTGCAAAGGGATATTTCTGACCGCTTTGGGGCCTATGGTGAAAAAGGAAATATCCTCTCATAAAACTAGATCGAATCTTTCTGACAAACAACTTTGTGATGAGTGCATTCGTCTCACGGAGTTCAACCTTCCTTTGGATTAAGCAGTTTGTAAACAGTTTTTTTTATAGTATCCGAAAAAGGGATATTTGTGAGCCCTTTGTGTCCCATGACAAAAAAGAAATATCTTCACATAAAAACTAGACAGACTCCCTCTGAGAAACTTCTCTGTGTTGTGTGATTTCATCTCACTGAATTGAACCTTTCTTTTGATTGATCAGTTTGGAAACAGTCTTTTTGTAGAATCTGCAAAGGGAAACTTGGAGCACTTTGTGGCGTCGGGTGAAAAAGTAGATATCTTCAAATAAAAACTAGACAGAAGCTTTCTGAGAAACTTCTCTGTGATGTGTGCATTCATCTCACAGAGTTGAACATTTCTTTTGATTAAGCAGTTTGGAAACAGTCCTTTTGTTAAATCTGCAAATGCATATTTCTGAGCAGTTTGAGGCCTATGGTGAAAAAGGAAATATCTTCACATGAAAACTAGACAGAAAGTTTTTAAGAAACATCTTTGTTATGTGGGCATTCATCTCACAGAGTTGAGCCTTTCTACTGTCTGAGTCGTTTGGAAACAGTCTTTTTGTAGAATCTGGCCATGGATATATGTAACGCTTTGAGGCGTATGGTGAATAACGAAATACCTTCCTATAAAAACTAGACAGAAGCTTTCTGAGAAACTTCTTTATGATGTGTGCATTCATCTCAAAGAGTTCAATGTTTCCTTCATTGAGCAGTTTGGAAAAAGTCTTTTCGTAGTTTCCTCAGAGGGATATGTGTAGCGCTTTGAGGCGTACAGTGAAAAATGAAATGTCTCCATATAAGAACTAGACGGAAGCTTTCTGGCAAAATTCTTTGCGATGTGGCTTTCATTTCACAGAGTTGAACCTTACTTTTCATTGAGCAGCTTGGAGACAGTCTTTTTGTAGAATCTGAAAATGGATATTTGGAGCACTTGGAGGCCTATGGTGAAAAAGGAAATATCTCAACATAAAAACTGGACAGAAACTTTCTGGGAAACTCCTTTGTGATGTGTGCTTTCATCCCACAGAGTTGAATCTTTCTTTTTATTGAGCAGTTTGGAAACAGTCTTTTTGTAGAATCTGCAAATGGATATTTGGAGCGCTTTGAGGCCCAAGGTGAAAAAGGAAATATCTCAACATAAAAACTAGACAGATCCTTTCTGAGAAACTTCTTTGTGTTGTGTGCATTCATCTCACAGAGTTGAACCTTTCTGTTGATTGAGCAGTTTAGAAACACTCTGTTTGTAGAAACTGCAAAGGGACATTTTTGATTGGTTTGCATACTGTGTTGAAAAAGGAATTACGTTTACATAGAAGCAAGACAGAAGCATTCTGAGAAACTTCTTTTTGATGGGTGCATTCATCTCACAGAGATGAAACTTTCTTTTGATTGAGCAGTGTGGAAACAGCCTTTTTGTAAAATCTACAAGTGGATACTTGTGTGCCTTTTGAGGCCTATGGTGAAAAGGGAAATATCTTCACATAAAAACTAGACAGAAGTTTTCTGAGAAAATACTTTGTGATGTGTGTTTTCATGTCACTGTTGAAAGTTTCTTTTGTTTGATCAGTTTGCAAACAGTCTTTTTACAGAATCTGCAAAGGGATACTTGGAGCCCTTTGAGGCCTATGGTGAAAAAGGAAATATCCTCAAATAAAAAATAGAAACTTTCTGAGAAACTTCTTTGTGATGTGTGCATTCATCTCAGAGAGTTGAACCTATCTTTTGATTAAGCAGTTTGGAAACAGTCTTTTTGTAGAATCTTCAAAGAGATATTTATGAGCAGTTTGAGGCCTATGGTGAAAACAATATCTTCACATAAAAACTAGACAGAAGCTTGTGGAGAAACTTCATTGTGATGTGTGCATTCGTCTCACAGAGTTCAACATTTCTATTGATTGAGCAGTTTGGAAGCAGTCTTTTTGTAGAATCTGCAAATGGATATTTGGTTCACTTTGAGGCCTATAGTGAAAAAGGAAATGTCTTCACATAAAAACGAGACAAAAAATTTCTCAGAAACTTTTTTGTTATGTGCATTCATCTCACAAAGTTGAACCTTTCTTTTCATTGAGCAGTTTGGAAACAGTCTTTTTGTAGAATCTCCAAGGGGATATTTGGAGCACTTTGAGGCCTGTGGTGAATAAGGAAAATATTTAAATAAAAACTAGACAGAAACTTTCTGAGAAACCTCTGTTTGATGTGGGCTTTCATCTCACAGATTAGAACCATTCTTTTGATTGAGCAGTTTGGAAACAGTCTTTTGTAGAATCCAAAAATGGATGTTTTGAGCGCATTGTTTCCTGTAGTAGAAAAGGAACTATCTTCACATAAAAACTAGACAGAAGCCATCTGAGAAACTTCTTTGTGATGTGCGCTTTCATCTCACAGAGATGAGCCTTTCTTTTGATTGAGCAGTTTGGAAACATTCCTTTTGTAGAATCTGCACAGGGATATTTGTGAGCCCTTTGAGGCCTATGGTGAAAAAGGGAATAGCTTCACATAAAAATTAGAAGCTTTCTGAGAAACTTCTCTGTGTTGTGGGATTTCATCTCAGAGGATTGAACCTTTCTTTGGTTGGTCAGTTTGGAAACAGTCTTTTTCTTGAATCTGCAAAGGGATACTTGGGGCACTTTGAGACCTGTGGTGAAAAAGGAAATATCTCAACATAAAAACTAGACAGAAGCTTTCTGAGAAACTTCTTTGTGATGTGTGCATTCATGTCACAGGGTTGAGCTTTTCTTTTGATTGTGCAGTTTGGAAACAGTATTTTTGTAAAATCTGCCAAGAGATATATGGAGCCCAGTGCGGTCTGTAGTGGAAATGGAAATATCTTCACATAAATACCAGAGAGAAGCCTTCTGAGAAACTTCTTCTGGTTTGTGCCTTCATCTCACAGAGTTGAACCATTCTTTTGATTGAATCCTTTGAAACAGTGCTTTTGTAGAATCTGCAAATGGGTGTTTTTGAGCCCTTTGAGACCTATGGTAAAAAAGGATATATCTTCTCATAAAACTAGACAGAAGCTTTCTGAGAAACTTCTTTGTGATGTGTGATTTCATCTCTCAGAGTTGAACCTTCCTTTTGATTGATATGTTTGGAAACAATCTTTTTTGTAGAATCTGCAAAGTGATATTTGGATCGCTTTGTGGCCTCTGGTGAATAAGGAAATATCTTCACATTAAAACTAGACAGAAGTTTTCTGAGAAACTTCTTTGTTATGTGTGCATTCATCTCTCAGTTTTGAAGCTTTCTTTTAATTGAGCAATTTGGAGACTTTTTGTGGAATCTACAAAGGGGTATTTGTGAGCGGTTTGGGGCCTATATTGAAAAGGGAAATGACTTCATATAAAAACTAGATTGAAGCATTTTGAGAAATTTCTTTGTGATGTGTGCAATCACCTCACAGAGTGCAACCTTTTTTTTTTTTTTCTGAGACGGAGTCTGGCTCTGTAGCCCAGGTTGGAGTGCAGTGGCATGATCTCGGCTCACTGCAAGCTCTGCCTCCCAAGTTCCCACCATTCTCCTGCCTCAGCCTCCCAAGCAGCTGGGACTACAGGTGCCCGCCACCACGCCCAGCTAATTTTTTGTATTTTTAGTAGAGACGGGGTTTCACCGTGTTAGCCAGGATGGTCTCAATCTCCTGACCTTGTGATCTGCCCGCCTCAGCCTCCCAAAGTGCTGGGACTACAGGCTTGAGTCACCATGCCTGGCTGACACAACCTTTTTTTTGATTGAGCAGTTTGGAAGCAGTCTTTTTGTGAAATCTGCAAAGGGATATTTGTAATCACTTTAATGCCTATGGTAAAAAGGGAAATATCTTCACATAAAAACTAGACAGAAGCATTCTGAGAAACTTATTTGTGATGTGTGTATTCAAACCGCATACTTGAACCTTTCTTTCGATTGAGCACTTTGGAAACCGTCTTTTTATAGAATCTGCAAATGGATATTTGTGAGCCCTTTGAGGCACATGGTGAAAAAGGAAATATCTTCACATAAAATCTAGACAGAAGCTTTCTGAGAAACTTCTCTGTTTTGTGTCCTTTCAACTAAAACAGTTGAATCTTTCTTTTGATCGATCAGTTTGGAAAAAGTCTTTTTGTAGAATCTGCAAAGGGATACTTGGAGCACTTTGAGGCCTATGGTTAATAAGGAAATATCTTCACATAGAAACTATACAGAAGCTTTCTGAGAACCTTCCTTGTGATGTGTGCATTCAACTCACAGAGTTGAATCTTTCCTTTGATTGAGCAGTATGGAAACAGTCTTTTTGTAGTATCTGCAAAGGGATATTTGCAGCGCTTTGAGGCCTATTGTGTAAAAGGAAATATCTTAACATAAAAATTAGACAGAAGATTTCTGAGAAAATTCTTTGGATGCGGGCATTTATCTCACAGAGTTGTACCTTTCCTTTGATTGAGCAGTTTGGAGGCAGTCTTTTTGTAGAATCTGCAAAGGGATATTTGAGAGTGGTTTCAGCCCTATGGTGACAAAGGCAATATCTTCACATAAAGCTAGATAGAAGCATTTTGAGGTACTTCTTTGTGATGTGTGCATTCATCTAACAGAGTTCAATCTTTCTTTAGAAGGAGCAGTTTGGAAATCGTCTTTTTGTAGAATCTGCAAAGGGATATTTGTGAGTGGTTTGAAGCCTGTGGTGAAAAAGGAAATATCTTCACATAAATACTAGAAATAAGTATTCTGAGAAACTTCTTCGTGATGTGTGGCTTCATCACGCAGAGTAGAAATTTTCCCTTGATTGAGCATTTTGGAAATGGTCTTTTTCTAGTATCTCCAGAGGGATATGTGTGAACCCATTGAGGCCTATGTTGAAAAGGGAAATATCTTCAAATAAAAACTAGACAGAAGTATTCTGAGAAACTTCCTTGTGATGCATGCATTCATCTCACAGAGTTGAACCTTCCTTTTGATAGAGCAGTTTGGAAACAGTCTTTTTGTAGTATTTGCAAAGGGATATTTGCAGTGCTTTGAGGCCTATGGTGTAAAAGGAAATACCTTAACAAGAAAACTAGACAGAAGATTTCTGAGAAAATTCTTTGGATGTGGGCATTCATCTCACAGAGTTGAATCTTTCTTTTGATTGAGCAGTTGGAGGCAGTCTTTTTGTAGAATCTACAAAGGGATATTTGAGAGTGGTTTCAGCCCTATGGTGACAAAGGAAATATCTTCACATAAGGCTAGACAGAAGCCCTTTGAGGTACTTCTTTGTGATGTGTGCATTCGCCTAACAGAGTTCAATCTTTCTTTTGAAGGAGCAGTTTGGAAATCGTCTTTTTGTAGAATCTGCAAAGGGATATTTGTGAGTGGTTTGAAGCCTGTGGTGAATAAGGAAATATCTTCACATAAATACTAGAAATAAGCATTCTGAGAAACTTTTTTGTGATGTGTGTCTTCATCACACAGAGTAGAAATTTTCCCTTGATTGAGCAGTTTGGAAATGGTCTTTTTCTAGTATCTCCAGAGGGATATGTGTAAGCCCATTGAGGCCTATGTTGAAAAGGGAAATAACTTCAAATAAAAACTAGACAGAAGCATTCTGAAAAACTTTCTTGTGAAGCGTGCATTCATCTCACAGAGTTGAACCTTCCTTTTGATAGAGCAGTTTGGAAACAGTCTTTTTGTAGTATCTGCAAAGGGATATTTGCAGTGCTTTGAGGCCTATGGTGTAAAAGGAAATACCTTAACAAGAAAACTAGACAGAAGATTTCTGAGAAAATTCTTTGGATGTGAGCATTCATCTCACAGAGTTGAACCTTTCTTTTGATTGAGCAGTCGGAGGCATTCTTTTTGTAGAATCTGCAAAGGGAGTGGTTTCAGCCCTATGGTGACAAAGGAAATATCTTCACATAAAGCTAGACAGAAGCACTTTGAGGTACTTCTTTGTGCTGTGTGCATTCATCTAACAGAGTTCAATCTTTCTTTTGAAGGAGCAGTTTGGAAATCGTCTTTTTGTAGAATCTGCAAAGGGATATTTGTGAGTGGTTTGAAGACTGCGGTGAAAAAGGAAATATCTTCACATAAATACTAGACAGAAGCATTCTGAGAAACTTCTTTGGGATGTGTGCCTTCATCATACAGAGTAGAAATTTTCCCTTGATTGAGCAGTTTGGAAACAGTCTTTTTCTGGAATCTCCAGAGGGATATACGTGAGCCCATTGAGGCCTATGTTGAAAAGGGAAATATCTTCAAATAAAAACTAGACAGAAGCATTCTGAGAAAATTCCTTTTGATATGTGCATTCATCTCACAGAGTTGAACCTTTCTTTTGATAGAGCAGTTTGGAAACAGTCTTTTTGTAGTATCTGCAAAGGGATATTTGGAGCACTTTGAGGCCTATGGTGCAAAAGGAAATATCTTATCATAAAAACAAGGCAGAAGATTTCTGAGAAGCTTCTTTCATGCTTGCATTCATCTCACAGAGTTGAATCTTTCTTTTGATTGAGGAGTCAGAGGCAGTCTTTTTGTAGAATCTGCAAAGGGATATTTGAGAGTGACTTCAGCCCTATGGTGACAAAGGAATTATCTTCACATAAAGCTGCACAGAAGCATTTTGAGGTATTTCTTTGTGATGTGTGCATTCACCTAACAGAGTTCAATCTTTCTTTAGATGGAGCAGTTTGGAAATCATCTTTTTGTAGAATCTACAAAGGGATATTTGTGTGCGGTTTGAAGCGTACAGTGAAAAATGAAATATCTTCACATAAATACTAGACAGAAGCATTCTGAGAAACTTCTTTGGGATGTGTGCCTTCATCTCACAGAGTTGAAATTTTCCTTTGGTTGAACAATATGGAACAGTCTTTTTCTAGAATCTCCAGAGGGATGTGTATAAGCCCATTGAGGCCTACATTGAAAAGGGAAACATCTTCACATAAAAACTAGATGGAAGCATTCTGAGAAACTTCTTTGTGATGTGTGCATTCATCTCACAGAGATGAACATTGGTTTTGATTGAGCAGTTTGGACACAGTCTTTTTGTACCAGCTGCAAATGGATATTTAGTGTGCTTTGAGTCCTATGGTGAAAAAAGAAATATCTTAACATAAAAACTAGAGAGAATCTTTCTGAGAAACTTCTTTATGCTGTGTGCATTCATCTGAGAGAGTTGAAAATTTCTTTTCATTGAGCAGTTTGGAAACAGTATTTTTGTATAATCTGCCAAGGAATATTTGGAGGGATTTGAGACATATGGTGAAAAAGGAAATATCTTCAAAAAAAAACTAGAAGAAGATTTTTGAGAAATTCATTTTTCATGTGTGCTTTGACCCTACAGAGTTTAAACTTTTTTTGATAGAGCAGATTGGAAACCATCCTTTTGTAGAATCTCCAAATGAATATTTAGAGCGCTTTGAGGGCTATGGTGAAAAAGGAAATATCTTCCAATAAAAACGAGACAGAAGCTTTCTGAGAAACTTCCTTGTGATGTGTGCTTTCATCTCACAGAGTCAAAATTTTCTTGTGAATGAGCAGTTTGGAAACAGTCTTTTTGTAGGAACTGCAAATGGATATTTATAGCACTTTGAGGTCCACGGTGAAAAAGGAAATATCTTCACATGAAAACTAAACAGAAGATTTCTGAGAAAGTTCTTTGTGATGCGTGCATTTATCTCACAGTGTTGAACCTTTCTTTTGATTGAGCAGCTGGGACATGCTCTGTTTGTAGAATTTGCTGAGGAATATTTGTGAGCGGTTTGAGACTTATGGTGAAAAAGCAAACATCTTCACATAAAAACTTCACAGACTCTTTAGGAGAAACATTTTTGTGATGTTGACATTCATCTCACATAGTTGAACCTTTCTTTTCATTGAGCAATTTGGAAGCACTCTTTTTATATAATCTGCTAAGGGATATTTCTGAGTCATTTGAGGCCTATGGTGAAAAAGAAATATCTTCACATAAAAACTAGACAGAAGTATTCTGAGGAACTTCTTTGTGATGTGTGCATTCACCTCACAGAGTTGAACCATCCTTTGATTGAGCAGTTTGGAAACAGTCTTTTTGTAGAATTTGCAGACGGATATTTGTAAGTGGTTTGAGGCCTATGGTGAAAATGGAAATATCTTCACATAAAAACTAGACAGGAACATTCTGAGAAACTTCTTTGGATGTGTGCATTCATCTCACAGAGTTGAAAATTTCTTTAGATTGAGCAGTTTGGAAACAGTTTGTTGTAAAAACTGCTAAGGGATATATGTGAGCCCATTGAGGCCTACGGTGAAATAGGACATATTTTCACATAAAAACTATACAGAAGCTTTCTGAGAAACTTCTTTGGATGTGTGCTTTCAATGCACAGCATTGAAACTTTCTTTTGATTGAGCAGTTTGGAAACAGTCTTTTTGCAGGATCTACAAATGGATATTTGGAGCACTTTCAGGCCTGTGGTGAAATGTTAACATCTTCACATAAAAACTAGACAGAAGGTTTGTGTGAAAGTTCTTTGTGATATGTGAATTCACCACACAGAGTTGAATCTTTCTTTTGATTGAGCAGTTTGGAAACAGTCTTTTTGTAGATTCCTGAGAGGGATGTTTGTGAGAGGTTTGAGGCCTTTGGTGAAAAAGGAAATATCTTCACATAAAAACTAGACAGAAGCTTTCTGAGAATCTTTTTTGTGGTTTGTGCATTCATCTCTCAGATTTGAATCTTTCGTTTGACTAAGCAGTTTGGAAACTGTCATTTTGTACAATCTGACAAAGGATAGTTCTGAGCTGTTTGAGGCCTTCGGTGAAAAGGAATTATCTTCACATAAAAACTAGATGGAAGCATTCTGAGAAACTCCTTTTTGATGCATGCATTCATCTCACAGAGTTGAACTTTTCTTTTGATTGAGCACTTTGGAAACAGTCTTTTTGTACAATTTGCAGAGGGATATTTGTGAGTGGTTTGAGGTTTATGGTGAATAAGGAAATATCTTCACAGAAAAACTAGACAGAAGTTTTTTGAGAAACTTCTTTTGATGTGTGCATTCATCTCACAGTTTTGAAACTTTACTTTGATTGAGAAGTTTGAAAAGAGTCTTTTTGTAGAATCTGCAAAGGGTTATTTGTAAACAATTTGAGGCCTATGGTGAAATAGGAAATGTCTTCACGTAAAAAATAGACAAAAGCTTTCTGAGAAACTCCTTTTGATGTGTGCTTTCAACTCACAGAGATGATGCTTTCTTTTGATTGAGCAGTTTGGAAACTGTCTTTCTGTACAACCTGCAAATGGATATTTGGTGCGCTTTGAGGCTTATGGTGAAAAATGAGATATCTTCACATAAAAACTAGACAGAAGCATTCTGAGAAACTTCTTTGTGATGCATGCATTCATCTTACAGAGTTGAAACTGTCTTTTGATTGAGCAGTTTGGAAACAGTCGTTTTGTAGAATCTGCAAAGGGATATTTCTGAGCCCTTTTTGGCCTATGGTGAAAAAGGAAATATCTTCACATAAAAAGTAGAGAGGAGCTTTCTGAGAAACTTCTTTGTGATGTGTGCTTTCATCTCACAGTGTTGAACCTTTCTTTCAATAGAGCAGTTTGGAAACCATCTTTTTGCAGGATCTGCAAATGGATATTTGGAGCGCTTTGAGACCTATGGTGAAAAAGGAATTATCTTCACATAAAAACGAGACAGAAGATTTCTGAGAAAGTTCTTTGTGATGTGTGCATTCATCTCAAAGAGTTGAACCTTTCCTTTGATTGAGCCATGTGGAAACAGTCCTTTTGTACATTTGCAGAGGGATATTTGTGAGTGGTTTGAGGGCTATGGTGTAAAAGGAAGTATCTTCATTTTAAAACAATACAGAAGATTTTTCAGAAACTTCTTTATGATTTTTGCATTCATGTCACAGAGGTGAACCTTTCTTTTCATTGAGAAGTTTGGAAGCAGTCTTTTTTTACAATCTTCAAAGTGATATTTCTGAGCGGTTTGTGGCCTATGGTGAAAAAGAAATATCTTGACATAAAAACTAGACAGAAGTGTTCTGAGAAACTTCTTCATTATGTGTGCACTCATGTCCCAGAGTTGAACATTTCTTTTGATTGAGCACATTGCAAACCGTCTTTTTGTAGAATCTGCAATGGAATATTTGTGAGACTTTTGAGGCATATGATGAAAAATGAAATACCTTCGCATAAAAAGTAGACAGAATCTGTCTAAGAAAATTCTTTGTAATGTGTGCATTTATCTCACAGTGTTGAAACTTTCTTTTGATTGAGCAGTTTAGAAACAGTTTTTTGTAGAATCTGACAAGGGATATTAGGAGTGCTTTGAGGTGTTTGGTGAAAAATGAAATGTCTTCACATGAAAACTAGACAGAAGCTGTCTAAGAAAATTTTTTGTGATGTGTGCATTCATCTCAGAGTGTTCAAACTGTCTTTTCATTGAGCAGTTAAGAAACAGCCTTTTTTTTAGTATCTGCCAATGGATATGTGGAGCTCATTGGGTCCTATGTTGAAAAAGGAAATATCTTCACATAAAAACTAGACAGAAGCTTTCTGAGAAACTTCTTTGTGATGTGTGCTTTCATCTCCCAGAGTAGAAACTTTCATTTCCTTGATATGTTTGGAAACAGTCTTTTTGTAGAATCTGCAAAGGGATATTTGGAGCAATTTGAGACCTTTGGTGTAAAAGTAAATATCTTTAAATGAAAAGTATATATAACCTTTCTGAGTAACATCTTTTTGATGTGTACATTCGTCTCCCAGAGTTGGTACTTTCTTTTCATGTTTGAGAAGTTTGGAAACAGTCTTTTTGTAGAATCTGCAAAGGGATATATGGAGCAATTTGAGGTATATGGTGAAAAAAGAAATTTCTCAAAAAAACTAGACAGAAGCTCTCTGAGAAACTTATTTGTGATGTATACATTCATCTCAGAAAGTTGAACCTTTCAATTGATAAGCAGTTTGGAAAGTCTTTTTTTTAGAATCTGCAATGGGATACTTGGAACACTTTGAGGCCTATAGTGAAAAAGGAAATATCTTCAAATAAATACTAGAAAGAAGCTTTCTGAGATACTTCTTTGTGATGTGTGAATTCATCTCACAGAATTTAACCTTTCCTTTAATTCACCACTTTGGAAACAGACTTTTTGTTGAACCTGCATAGAGATACTTGTAAGAGGTTTGAGGAATATGGTGAAAAGTGAAATAACTTCATATAAAAAGTAGACAGAAGATTTTGAGAAACCTGTTTGGGATGTGTGCTTTCATCTCACAGAGTTGAAGCTTTCTTTTCATTGAGAAGTTTGGAAATAGTCTTTTTGTACAATCTGCAAAGTGATATTTCTGAGCGTTTTCAGGTCCATGGTGAAAAAGTAACATCTTCACATAAAAACTAGACAGAAGGATTCTGAGAAACTTCTTTTTGATGTGTGCATTCATCTCACAGAGTTGGGCATTTCTTTATATTGGGCAGTTTGGAAACAGTCTTTTTGTAGAATATGCAAAGGAATATTTGTGAGCCCTTTGAGGCCTGTGGTGAAATAGGAACTATCTTCACATAAAAACTAGACAGAAACTTTCAGAGAAACTTCTTTGTGTTGTGTGCTTTTATCTCACAGACTTGAATCTTTCTTTTGATTGAGCACTCTGGAAGCATCCTTTTTGTAGTATCTGCAAGTGGATATTTGCAGTGTTTTGAGTCCTATGGTTAAAAAGGAAATATCTTCACATTAAAACTAGACAGAAGCTTTCCAAGAAACTTCTTTGTGATGTGTGCATTTATCTCACAGAGTTTAAAATTTCTTTTGATTGAGTAGCTTGGAAAAATGCTTTTTGCAGATTCTGCAGAGGGATACTTGTGAGCCTTTTGAGGCCTATGGTGAAAAAGGAAATATCTTCACATAAAAACTAGACAACAGCTTTTCGAGAAACTTCTTTGTTATGTGTGCGTTCATCTCATGGAGTTGAAACTTTCTTTTGATTGAGCAGTTTGGAAACAGTATTTTGTAGAATCTTCAAAGGGATACTTGTGAGCCCTTGGTGGCCTATGGTGAAAAGGAAAATATTTTCACATAAATAATAAAAATCATTTTTCTGAGAAACTTCTTTGTGATGTGTGCTTTCATCTCACAGAGTTGAAACTTTCTTTTGATTGAGTGGTTTGGAAACCGTTTTTTTGTAGAATCTGCCAATGGATATATGGAGTGCTTTGAGTCAAGTGGTGTAAAAGGAAATATCACAACATAAAAACTAAGC
This sequence comes from Homo sapiens, assembly GCF_000001405.40. Taxonomy (NCBI): domain Eukaryota; kingdom Metazoa; phylum Chordata; class Mammalia; order Primates; family Hominidae; genus Homo; species Homo sapiens. Next base: position 62,103,505 of record NC_000007.14, on the reverse strand, counting down.
AGTTTGGAAACAGTCTTTTTGTAGAATCTGCCAATGCATATTAGGTGTGCATTGAGGCCTATGGTGGAAAAGGAAACATCTTCACATAAAAACTAGAAAGGAGCTTTCTGAGAAACTTCTTTCTGATGTGTGCATTCATCTCCCAAAGTTGAACCTTTCTTTTGATTGATATGCTTGGAAACAGTGTTTCTGTAGAACCTGCAAAGGGATATTTGAAGCTCTTTAAAGAGAATGGTGAAAAATGAAATGTCTTCACATAAAAACTAGATGGAAGCATTCTGAGAAACTTCTTTGTGATGAGTGCATTCATCTCAAAGAGTTGAAAGATTCTTTTGATGGAGCAGATTGGTAACAGTCTTTTTGTAGAATCTGCAAAGGGATATTTGTGAGCCCATTGAGGCCTAGAAAGAAATAGGTAATATCTTCACATAAAAACCAGACAGAAGCTTTCTGAGAAACTTATTGGTGATGTGTGCTTTTATCTCACTGAATTGAACATCTATTTTGATTGAGAAGTGTGGAAACTGTATTTTTGCAGAATCTGCAAATGGATATTTAGCATGCATTGAGGCCTCTGTTTAAAAAGAAAGTGTCTTCACATAAAAAATAGACAGAAGCATTCTGAGAAATTTCTTTGTGAAGTCTGCATTCGTCTCACAGAGGTGAACCTTTCTTTTCATTGATCAGATTCTAACCAGTCTTTTTGTAGAATCTGCGAATGGATATACGGAGTGCTTTGAGGCCTATGTTGAATAAGGAAAATATTCACATAAAAACTAGACAGAAGCTTTCTCAGAAACTCCTTTGTGATGTGGGCTTTCACCTCCAGACTTGAACATTTCTTTTATTTGAGCAGTTTGCATACTTTCTTTTTGTAGCATCTGTGTATGGATGCTTGGAGTGCTTTGAGGTCCATGGTGGAAAGGGAAATTTCTCAATATAAAAACTATACAGAAGCTTTCCAAGAAACTTCTTTGTGACGTGTGCATTCATCTCCCAGATTAGAACTTTTTTTTCTTTGAGCAGTTTGGAAACAGTCTTTTTGTAGAATCTGCAAAGGCATATTTGGAGTGCTTTGCAGCCTATGGTAAATAAGAAAAATCTTCACATAAAACTAGACAGATGCTTTCTGAGAAACTTCTTTGTGATGTGTGCACTTATCTCACAGAGTTGAAACTTTCTTTTGATTGAGCAGTTTGGAAACTGTCTTTTTATGGAATCTTCAAAGGGATAATTATGAGCCCTTTGAGGCCTATGGTGATAAAGGAAATATCTTCACATAAAAACTACAAAGAAGCTTTCTAAGAAACTTCTCTGTGTTGTATGCTTTCATCTCACAGAGTTGAAACTGTCTTTTGATTGATCAGTTTGCAAACAGTCCTTTTGTACAGTCTACAAAGGGATAGTGGGAAAACTTTGAGGCCCATGGTAAAAAAGCAAATATCTTCACATAAAAACTAGACAGAAGCTTCCTGAGAAACTACTTTGTGATATGTGCATTCATCTCACAGAGTTGAAACTTTCTTTTGATTGAGCAGTTTGGAAACAGTCCTTTTGTAGAATCTGCAGAGGTATATTTGTGAGTGATTTGAGGCCTATGGTGTAAAAGGAAATATCTTCACATAAAAACTAGACAAGCTTTTTAAGAAGCTTCTTTGTGATGTGTGCATTCATCTCACAGATTTGAAAATTTCTTTTCATTGAGCAGTTTTGCAACTGTCTTTATGTAGAATCTGTGAATAGATATATGGAGCTCTTTGATTCAAATGGTGAAAAAGGAAATATCTCAACATAAAGACCAGACAGAAGCTTTCTGAGAAGCTTCTTATGATGTGTGCATTCACGTCACAGAGTAGAACCCTTATTTTGATTGAGCAGTTTGGAACCAGTCTTTTGTAGAATCTGTCAAGGCATATTTTGTGTGCATTGAGGCCTATGGTGGAAAAGGAAATATCTTCACATAGAAACTAGATAGAAGCTTTCTGAGAAACTTCTTTGTGATGTGTGCATTCATCTCCCAGAGTTGAACTTTTCTTTTGTTTGAGCCGTTTGGAAACAGTGTTTTTGTAGAATATGCAAAGGGATGTTTGAAGCTCATTGAAGCAAATGTTGAAAAATGAAATATCTTCACATAAAAACTAGACAGAAGTTGTCTGAGAAATTTATTTGTGATGTGTGCATTCATCTCACAGTGTTGAACATTTATTTTGATTGAGCAGTTTGGAAAAAGTCTTTTTGCAGAATCTGCAAAGGGATATTTGTGAGCCACATGAGGTCTATGGTGAAATAGGAAATATCTTTAAATAAAAACTAGACAGAAGCATCCTGAGAAACTTCTTTGTGAAGTGTGCATTCATCAAACAGAGTTGAAGCTTTCTTTTGATTGAGCAGTTTGCAAACAGTCTTTTTGTAGAATCTGCAAAGGGATATTTCTGAGCACTTTGAGGCCTATGGTGAAAAAGGAAATATCTTCATATAGTAGCTAGACAGAAGTTTTTTGAGAAACTTATTTGTGATGTTTGCATTCATCTCACAGAGATGAAACTTTCTCTTTATTGAGCAGTTTGGAAACGGTCTTTTTGTACAATCTGCAAAGGGATATTTCTGAGCGGTTTGAGACCTTTGGTGAAAATGAAATATCTTCACATAAAAACTAGACAGAGGCATTCTGAGAAACGTCTTTGTGATGTGTGCATTTATCTCACAGTGTTGAACCTTCCTTTTGATTGAGCACTTTGCAAACAGTCTTTTTGTGGAATCTGCAAAGGGATATTTGTGAGCCCTTTGAGGTCTATGGCGAAACAGGAAATATCTTCACATGAAAACTAAACAGAAGGTTTCTGAGAAACTTCTCTGAGATGTGTGCTTTCATGTCACAGAGTTGAACCTTTCGTTTCATTGAGCAGTTTGGAAACAGTCTTTTTGTGGAATCTACGAATGGATATTCAAAGTGCTTTAAGGCCTATGGTGAAAAAGGAAATCTTCACTTAAAAACTAGACAGAACCTTTCTGGGAAACTTCTTTGTGATGTCTGCATTCATCTCAGAGAGTTGAATCTTTCTTTTGATTGAGCAGTTTGGAAACTGTTTTTGTAGAATCTGCAAAGGGATATTTGTGATCCCATTAAGGCCGATGGTGAAAAAGAAGTATCTTCACAAAAAAACCATACAGAAAGATTCTGATAAACTTCTTTGTGATGTGTGCATTCATCTCAAGAGTTGAACTTTTCTTTTGATTGAGCAGTTTGGGAACAGCCTTTTTGTTGAATCTGCGAATGGATATTGGAACGCTTTAAGGCTTATAGTGAAAAAGGAAATATCGTCACATAAAAACTAAACAGAAGATTTCTGAGGAACATCTTTGTGATGTCTGCATTCATCTCACAGAGTTGAAACTTTCTTTTGATTGAGCAGTTTGGAAACAGTCTTTTTGTGGAATCTGCAGAGGGATATATGTGAGCAGTTTTAGGCCTACGGTGAAGAAGGAAATATCTTCAAATAAAAACTAGAGAGAAGCATTCCGAGAAACTTCTTTGTGATGTGTGTACTCATCTCACAGATTGAAACTTTTTTTATTAAGCAGTTTGGAAACAGACTTTTTGTAGAATCTGTAATAGATACTTTTGAACAAATTGAGGCCTATGGTGTAATAGGAAATATCTTCACATAAAAACTAGACAGAAGCATTCTGAGAAACTTCTTTGTTATGTGTTCTTTCATCTCACAGAGTGAACCTTTCTTTTGATGGAGCAGTTTGGAAACAGTCTTTTTGTATAATCTGCAAAGGGATATTTGTGAGCCCATAGAGGTCTACGGTGAAATAGGAAATGCCTTCAAATAAAAACTAGACAGAAGTTTTCTGAGAAACTCCTCTTTTTTTTTAGGAAAACTCTTATTAACTCTGTTCTTTATTTGAATCAGAGGTTCTCAGGGTACCTTTTTAATTTTTTATTTCATTATTATTATACTTTAAGATTTAGGGTACATGTGCACAACGTGCAGTTTTGTTACATATGTATACATGTGCCATGTTTTCGTGCTGCACCCATTAACTCGTAATTTAGCATTAGATATATCTCCTAATGCTATCCACCACCCTTCCCCCCAGCCCCAGCAGTCCCCGGTGTGTGATGTTCCCCTTCCTGTGTCCATGTGTTCTCATTGTTCAATTCCCACCTATGAGTGAGAACATGCGGTGTTTGGTTTTTAGTCCTTGCGATAGTTTGCTCAGAAAGATGGTTTCCAGTTTCATCCATGTCCCTACAAATGACATGAACTCATCACTTTTGATGGCTGTATAGTATTCCATGGTGTATATGTGTCACATTTTCTTAATCCAGTCTATCATTGTTGGACACTTAGGTTGGTTCGAAGTCTTTGCTATTGTGAATAGTGCTGCTATAAACATACATGTGCATGTGTCTTTATAGCAGCAAGATTTATAATCCTTTGGGTATATATCCTGTAATGGGATGGCTGGTTCAAATGGTATTTCTAGTTCTAGATTCCTGAGGAATCACCACACTGACTTCCACAATGGTTGAACTAGTTTACAGTCCCAGCAACAGTGTAAAACTGTTGCTATTTCTCCACATACTCTCCAGCACCTGTTGTTTCCGGACTTTTTAATGATCAGCATTCTAACTGGTGTGAGATGGTATCCCATAGTAGTTTTGATTTGCGTTTCGATGATGGCCAGGTATGATGAGCGTTTTTTCACGTGTTTTTTGGCTGCATAAATGTCTTCTTTTGAGAAGTGTCAGTTCATATTCTTTGCCCACTTTTTGATAGGGTTGTTTGTTTTTTCTTGTAAATTTGTTTGAGTTCATTGTAGATTCTAGATATTAGCCCTTTGTCAGATGAGTAGGCTGCGAAAATTTTCTCCCAATCTGTAGGTTGCCTGTTCACTCTGATGGTAGTTTCTTTTGCTGTGCAGAAGCTCTTTAGTTTAATTAGATCTCATTTGTTAATTTTGGCTTTTGTTGTCATTGCTTTTGTTGTTTTTCCTTGCCCATGCCTATGTTGCCTATGTCCTGAATGGTATTGCCTAGGTTTTCTTCTAGGGTTTTTATGGTTTTTGGTCTAACATTTAAGTGTTTAATTGATCTTGAATTAATTTTAGTATAAGGTGTAAGGAAAGGATCCAGTTTCAGCTTTCTACATACGGCTAGCCAGTTTTCCCAGCACCATTTATTAAATAGGGAATCCTGTCCCCATTGCTTGTTTTTGTCAGGTTTGTCAAAGATCAGATAGTTGTAGATACGTGGCACTATTTCTGAGGGCTCTGTTCTGTTCCATTGATCTATATCTCTGTTTTGCTGCAAGTACCATGCTGTTTTGGTTACTGTAGCCTTGCAGTATAGTTTGAAGTCAGGTAGCGTGATGCTTCCAGCTTTACTCATTTGGCTTAGGATTGACTTGGTGATGCAGCCTCTTTTTTGGTTCCATATGAAGTTTAAAGTAGTTTCTTCCAAGTCTGTGAAGAATGTCATTGGTAGTTTGATGGGGATGGCATTGAATCTGTAAATTACCTTGGGCAGTATGGCCATTTTCACGACATTGATTCTTCCTACCCATGAGCATGGAATGTTCTTCCATTTGTTTGTATCCTCTTTTATTTCATTGAGCAGAGGTTTGTTGTTCTCCTTGAAGAGGTGCTTCACTTCCCTTGTAAGTTGGATTCCTAGGTATTTTATTGTTTTTGAAGCAATTGTGAATGGGAGTTCACTCAGAATTTGGCTTTCTGTTTGTCTGTTATTGGTGTGTAAGAGTGCTTGTGATTTTTGTACATTTATTTTGTCCTGAGGCTTTGCTGAATTTGCTTATCAGTTTGAGGAGATTTTGGGCTGAGATGATGGGGTTTTCTCGATGTACAATCATGTCATCTGCAAACAGGGACAATTTGAATTCCTCTTTTCCTAATTGAATACCCTTTATTTCATTCTCCTGCCTGATTGCCCTTGTCAAAACTTCCAACACTACGTTGAATAGGAGTGGTGAGAGAGGGCATCCCTGTCTTGTGCCCGTTTTCAAAGGCAATGCTTCCAGTTTTTGCCCATTTAGTATGATATTGGCTGTGGGTTTGTCATAGATAGCTCTTATTATTTTGAGATACATCCCATCATACTTAATTTATTGAGAGTTTTTAGCATGAAGGGTTGTTGAAATTTGTCAAAGGCCTTTTCTGCATCTATTGAGATAATCATGTGGTTTTTGTCTTTGGTTCTGTTTATATGCTGGATTACGTTTATTGATTTGCATAGGTTGAACCAGCTTTGCATCCCAGAGATGAAACCCACCTGATCATGGTGGACAAGCTTTTTGATGTGCTGTTGGTTTCGGTTTGCCAGTATTTTATTGAGGATTTTTGCATCAATGTTCATCAAGGATATTTGTCTAAAATTATCTTTTTTTGGTTGTGTCTCTGCCAGGCTTTGTTATCAGGATGATGCTGGCCTCATAAAATGAGTTAGGGAGGATTCCCTCTTTTTTTATTGATTGGAATAGTTTCAGAAGGAATGGTACCAACTCCTCTTTTTACCTCTGGTAGAGTTCGGCTGTGAATCCATCTGGTCCTGGACTTTTTTTGGTTGGTAAGCTATTAATTATTGCCTCAATTTCAGAGACTGCTATTGATCTATTCAGAGATTCAACTTCTTCCTAGTTGAGTCTTGGGAGGATGTATGTGTTGAGGAATTTATCAATGTCTTCTAGATTTTCTAATTTATTTATGTAGAGGTGTTTATAGTATTCTCTGATGGTAGCTTGTATTTCTGTGGGATCAGTTGTGATATCCCCTTTATCAATTTTTATTGTGTCTCTTTGATTCTTCTCTCTTTTCTTTTTTATTAGTCTTGTTAGTGGTTTATCAATTTTGTTGATCCTTTCAAAAAACAGCTCCTGGATTCATTAATTTTTTGAAGGGATTTTGTGTCCTATTACCTTCAGTTCTGCTCTGATCTTAGTTATTGCTTGCCTTCTGCTAGCTTTTGAATGTGTTTGCTCTTGCTTTTCTAGCTCAATCGATTGTGATGTTAGGTTGTCAATTTTTGATCTTTCCTGCTTTCTCTTGTGGGCATTTATTGCTATAAATTTCCCTGTACACACTGCTTTGAATGTGTCCCAGAGATTCTGGTATGTTTTGTCATTGTTCTCATTGATTTCAAAGAAAATCTCTATTTCTGCCTTCGTTTCATTATATACCCAGTGGTCATTCAGGAGCAGGTTGTTCAGGGAAACAGTCTGTTTTTAGAATCTGCAGAGGGATGTTTGTGAGCAGATTGAGGCCTATGGTGGAAAAGGAAATATCTTTACATAAAAACTAGACAAAAACATTCTGAGAAACTTCTTTGTGATGTGGGAATTCATCTCACAGAGTTGAACTTTCTTTTCATAGAGAACTTTGGAAACAGTCTTTTTGTAGAATCTGCAGAGAGATAATTGTGAGTGGTTTGAGGACTATCGTGAAAAAGGTAATATCTTCACATAAAAACTAGACAGAAGCATTCTGAGAATCTTCTTTGTCGTGTGTGCATTCATCTCAGGGAGCTGAACCTTTCTTTTGATTGTGCACTTTGGAAAGAGTCTTTTTGCAAATCTGTGAGTGGTTTGATTCCTATCTGAAAAAGGAAATATCTTCACAGAAAACTACACAGAAGGATTCTCAGAAACTTCTTCGTGATGTGTGTATTCATCTCACAGAGCTGAACCTTTATTTTGAATGAGCAGTTTTGAAAGAGTCTTGTTGTACAATCTGCAAAGGGATATTTGTGAGTCCATTAAGGACTACAATGAAAAAGGAAATATCTTCACATGAAAACCAGACAGAAACTTTCTGAGAAACTTCTTGAAGATGTGTTCTTTCATCTCACAGAGTTGAATCTTTCTTTTGATTGAGCAGTTTGGAAACAGTCTTTTTGTAGAATCTGCATGTGGATATTTGGAGCGCTTTGAGGACTATGGTGAAAAATGAAATATCTTCACGTAAAAAGTAAATAGAAGCTTTCTGAGAAACCTCTTTGTGATGTATGCATTCATCTCACGGATTTGAACCTTACTTTTGATTGAGCGGATTGGAAACAGTATTTTTGTACAATTTGCAGAGGGATAATTCTGAGCAGTTTGAGGCCTATGGTGAAAAAGGAAATATCTTCACATAAAAACTAGACAGAAGCTTTTTGAGAAACTTCTTTGTGGTGTGTGCTTTCATCACATAGAGTCGAACCTTTCTTTTGATAGAGCAGTTTGGAAACAATCTCTGTGTAGAATCTGCAAAGGGATATTAAAGAGCTTTGAGGTCTATGGTGAAAAATGAAATATCTTCAAATAAAAACTAGACAGAAGCTTTCTGGGAAACTTCTTTGTGATGTGTGCATTCATCTCATTGGGTTGAAACTTTGCTTTGATTGAGCACTTTGGAAACCGTCTTTTTGTGGATTCCTCAGGGAGATATTTGTGATTGGTTTGAGGCCTCTGGTGAAAAAGGAAATATCTTCACATAAAAAGTAGACAGAAGCTTTTTGAGAAACTTCTTTGGATGTGTGTATTCATCTCACTGAGTTGAAAATTTCTTTTCATTGAGCAGTTTGGAAACCATCTCTTAGTCGAATCTGAAGAGGGATATTTGTGAGAGGTTTGAGACCTATGGTGCAAAAGGAAATATCTTCACATAAAAACTAGACAGAAGTTTTTGAGGAACTGCTATGTGATGTGTGCATTTATCTCACAGAGTTGAGAGTTTCTTTTGGTTGAGCAGTTTGGGAAACAGTCTTTTTGTGTAATATGCAAAGGGATATTTGTGAGTGGTTTGAGGCTATGGTAAAAAAGAAACATCTTCACATAAAAGTTAGACAGAAGATTTCTGAGACACTTCTTTGTGATGTGTGCTTTCACCTCATAGAGTTGAAGCTTTCTTTTGATTGAGCTTATTGGAAACAGCCTTTTTGTAGCATTTGCAAATGGATATTTGGAGAGTTTTGAGTCCTTTGTAACAAAGGAAATATTTCAAACAAAGACTAGACAGAAGCATTCTGAGAAACTTCTTTGTGATTTGTGCATTAATCTCACAGAGTTCAAACTTCTTTTTGATTGAGAAGTTTATAAACTGTCTTTTCATAGAATATGCAGAGGGATATTTGTGAGCGGTTTGAGTCCTATGTGAAAAAGGAAATGTCTTCACATAAAAACTACACAGAAATATTCTGAGAAACTGCTTTGTGATTTGTACATTCATCTCACATTGCTGAACGTTTCTTTTGATTGAGCAGTTTGGAAAGAGTCTTTTTGTAGAATCTGAAAAGAGACATTTGTAACTCTTTGAGGCATATGGTGATATAGGGAAAATATTCACATAAAAACTAGACAGAAGCTTTCTGAGAAACTTCTTTGTGATTTGTGCTTTCATCTCACAGAGCTGAACCTTTCTTTCGATTGAGCAGTTTGGAAACAGACTTTTGTACAATTTGCAAGTGGATATTTGGAGTGCTTTGTGGTCAACGGTGAAAAAGGAAATATCTTCACATAAAAACAAGACAGAAGCATTCTGAGAATCTTCTTTGCCATGTGTGCATTCATCTCACAGATTTGAAACTTCGTTTTAATTGAGCAGTTTGGAAACAGTCTTTTTGTAGAATCTGAAAAGGGATATTTGTGAGCCCTTTGAGGCCTATGGTGAAAAAGGAAATATCTTCACATAAAAACTAAACAGAAGCTTTCTGAGAAACTTCTAGTGATGTATGCCTTCATCTCACAGAGTTGAACCGTTCTTTTGATTGAACAGTTTGGAAACAGTCTTTTCATAGAAACTGCAAATGGATATTTACAGCACTTTGAGGCCTGTGGTGAAAAAGGAAATATCTTCACATAAAAACTAGACAGACACTTTCTGAGAAAGTTCTTTTTGATTTGTGCATTCATCTAACAAAGTTGAAACTTTCTTCTGATTGAGCAGTTTGAAAAACAGTCTTTTTGTAGATTCCTCAGAGGGATATTTGTTAGCGTTTTGAGGCTTATGGTGAAAAAGAAATATCTTCACGTAAAAACTAGGCAGAAGCATTCTGAGAAACTTCTTTTGATGCTTGCATTCATCTCACACATTTGAATCTTTCTATTCATTGTGCAGTCTGGAAGCAGTCTTTTGTAGAATCTGCAAAGGGATATTTGTGAGCCCTTTGAGGCCTATGGTGAAATAGGAAATATCTTCACATAAAAACTAGACAGACACATTCTGAGAAACTTCTTTTTGTTGTGTGTTTCATCTCACAGAGTTGAGCTTTTCTTTTGATTGAGCAGTTTGGAGACAGTCATTTTGTAGACTCTGCAAATGGATATTTGGAGCACTTTGAAGCCTATGGTGAAATCAGGTAATATGTTCACATAAAAATTAGACAGAATCTTTCTGAGAAATTTCTTTGTGATGTGTGCTTTCATCTCACAGATGTGAACCTTTCTTTTGATTGAGTAGTGTGGAAACAGTCTTTTTGTAGAATCTTCAAATGGATACTGGAGCGCTTTGAGGCCTAAGGTGAAAAAAGGAAATATCTTCACATAAACACTAGATAGAATCTTTTTGAGAAACTTATTTGTGATATGTGCATTCATCTCACAAGGTTGAACCTTTCTTTTAATGTAGCACTTTGGAAACAGTCTTTTTATACAATGTGCAAGGGGAAATTTCTGAGTGGTTTGAGGCCTATGGTGAAAAAGAAATATCTTCACATAAACACTAGACACAAAATTTCTGGGAAACTTCTTTGTGATGTGTGCATTCATCTCACAGAGTTGAACTTTTCTTTTGATTGAGCAGTTTGGAAACAGTCTTTTTGAAGTATTTGCAGAAGGATGTGTTTGAGCCGTTTGAGGCATATGGTGAAAAAGGAAATATCTTCACATAAAAACTAAGCAGAAGCATTCTTAGAAACTTCTTTGTGATGTGTGTATTTATCTCAAAGTGTTGAACCTTTCTTTTGATTGAGCAGTTTGTAAACAGTCTTTTTGTAGAATCTGCGAAGGGATATTTGTGAGCCCATTGAGGTCTATGGTGAAATAGGAAGTATCTTCACATAAAAACTAGACAGAAGCTTTCTGAGAAACTTCTTTGTGAGGTGCACTTTCATCTCACAGTTTTGATGCTTTCTATTGATTGAGCAGTTTGGAAACAGCCTTTTTGTGGAATCTGTAAATGGATATTTTGAGCGCTTTGAGGACTGTGGTGAAAAATGAAATATCTTCACATAAAAACTAGACATAATGTTTTTGAGAGACTTCTTTGTGATGTGTGCATTCATCTCATGGATTTGAAACTTTCTTTTGATTGAGCAGATTGGAAACAGTCTTTATGTAGAATCTGCAATGGGATATTTGTTAGCGCATTAAGGCCTATCATGAAAAAGGAAATATCTTCACATAAGAACTAGACAGAATCTTTCTGAGAAACTTGTTTTTGATGTGTACTTTCATGTCACAGAGTTGAACATTTCTTTTGATTGATCAGTTTGGAAACAGTCTTTTTGTGCAATTTGCAGAGGGATATTTGTGAGTGGCTTGAGGCCTATGGTGAAAATGGAAATATCTTTACATAAAAACTAGACGGAAGCATTCTGAGAAATTGCTTTGTAATGTGTGCTTTCATCTCACAGGGTTGAACCTTTCTTTTAATTGAGCAGTTTGGAAACCATCTTTTTATAGAATGTGCAAATGGATATTTGAAGTGCTTTGAGGCCTATGTTGAAAAAGGAAATATCTTCACATAGAAACTAGACAGAGGGTTTCTGAGAAACTACTTTGTGATGTGTGCATTCATTGCACAGAGTTGAAACTTCTTTTGCTTGAGCAGTCTGTAAAGAGTCTTTTTGTAGATTCTGCAAAGAGATATTTGTGAGCAGTTTGACCTTATGATGAAAACGGAAATGTCTTCACTGGAAAACTAGAGAGAAGCGTTTTGAGAAACTTCTTTGTGTTGTGTGCATTCATCTCACAGAGGTGAACCTTTCTTTTGATTGCGCAGTTTGGAAACAGTCTTTTTGTACTCTCTACAGAGGGTTAATTTTCAGCAGTTGGAGGCCTATGGTGAAAAAGGAAATATATTCACATGAAAACTAGACAGAATCTTTCTGAGAAACTTCCTTGTGATGTGTGCATTCACCTCAAAGACTTGAAGCTTTCTTTTGATTGAGCAGTTTGGAAAAAATCTGTTTGCACAATCAGCAAAGGGCTATTTCTGAGCTTTTTGAGGCCTATGGTGAAAAAGAAGTGTCTTCACATAAATATTATGCAGAAGCATTCTGAGAAACTTCTTTGTGATGTGTGCATTCCTCTCAGTGAGTTGAAACTTTCTTTTGATGGAGTAGTTTGGAACCAGTCTTTTTGTACAATCTGTAAAGAGATATTTGTGAGCCCATTGAGGCCTATGTTGAAATAGGAAATATCTTCACTTAAAAACCAGACAGAAGCTTTCTGACAAACTTCTTTGTGATGTGTGCTTCATCTCACAGTGTTGGAACTTTGTTTTGATTAAGCAGTTTCAAAACAGCCTTTTGTAGAATTCGCCCAGGGATATTTGGAGCACTTTGTGACATATGGTGAAAAGGAAATATCTTAACATAAAAATCAGACAGAAGAATTGTGAGCAACTTCTTTGTGATGTGTGCTTTCATCTCTCAGACTTGAACCATTCTTTTTATTGAGGAGTTTGGAAACCGTCTTTTTGTAGAATCTGCAAATGGATATTTTAGCACTTTGAGGCCAGGCCTATGGTGAAAAAACGAAATATATTCACATAAAAAGTAAACAGAAGCTTTCTAAGAAACTTCTACGTGATCTGCGCATTCATCTTATGAAGTTGAACCTATCTTTTGAGTAAGCAGTTTGGAAAGAGTCTTTTTTGTAGAATCTGTACAGGGATATTTGTGAGCCTTTTATGGCCTATGGTGAAATAGGAAGTATCTTCACCTAAAAACTAGACAGAAGCTTTCTGAGAAACTTTTGTGCAATGTATGGTTTCATCACACAGAATTGAACCTTTCTTTTGATTGAGCAGTTTGGAAACAGTCTTTTTGTAGAACATGAAAATGGATATTTGCAGCTCTTTGAGGCCAATGCTGAAAAAGGAAATATCTTCACATAAAAACTACACAGAAGTATTCTGAGAAACTTCTTCATGATGTGTGTATTCATCTCACAGAGTTTAACCTTTCATTTAATTAAGCAGTTTGGGAAGAGTCTTTTTTTAGAATCTGCAAATGGATATTTGGAGCTATTTGGGGCCTATGGTGAAAAAGGAAATATCTTCATATAACACTAGACAGAAGCATTCTGAGAAAATACTTTGTGATGCCTGCATTCATCTCATGGAATTAAACCTTTCTTTTGATTGAGCAGTTTGGAAACTGTGTTTTTGTACAATCTGTGAAGGGATATTTCTGAGCTGTTCGAGGCCTATGGTGAAAAAGAAATATCTTCACATAAAACCTAGGCAGAAACATGCTGAGAAACTTTTTGTGATGTGTGCACTCTTCTCACAGAGTTGAACATTTCTTTTGATTGAGCAGTTTGGAAGCAGTCTTTTCACAAAATCTGCACATTGATATTTGTGAGCCCTTTATGGCCTATGGTGAAATATTTTCACATCAAAACTATGTTCATATATCTTCACATAAAATATCTTCACATAAAAGCTAGACAGAAGGATTCTGAGAAACTTCTTTGTCATGTGTGCATTCATCTCACAGAGTTGAACCTTTCTTATGATGCAGCAGTGGGTAAACATTCTTTTTGTAGTATCTGCAGAGGGATATTTGTGACTGTTATAAGGCCTATATTGAAAAAGGAAATATCTTCACATAAAAACTAGACAGAAGCATTCTGAGAATCTACTTTGTGATGTATGCATTCACCTCACAAAGTTGAACCTCTCTTTTGATTTAGCAGTTTTGAAACAGTCTTTTTGTAGAATCTGCACAGGGATATTTGTGAGCCTTATATGGCCTATGGTGAAATAGGAAATATCTTCACATAAAAACTAGACAGAAGCTTTCTGAGAAACTTCTTTGTTATGTATGCTTTCATCTCACAAAGTTGAATCTTTCTTTTGATTGAGCACTTTGGAAACAGTCTTTTTGTAGTATCTGTAGATGGATATTTGTGACCAGTTTAAGGCCTATGGTGAAAAAGGAGATATCTTCACATAAAAACAAGACAGAAGCATTCTGAGAAACTTTTTTATGATGTCTGAATTCATCTCAGAGAGTTGAACCTTTCTTTTGATTGAGCAGTTTGGAAACAGTCTTTTTTACAAGCTGCAAAGGTATGTGTCTGAGCCGTTTGAGGCCAATGTTGAAAAAGAAATATCCTCACAAAAAACTAGACAGAAGCATTCTGAGAAACTTCTTTGTGATGTGTGCATTCATCTCACAGAGTTGAACCTTTCCTTTGATTGCATGGTTTGATAAACAGTCTTTTCATAGATCTGCACAGGGATATTTGTGAGCCCTTTATGGCCTATGGTGTAATTGGAAATATCTTCACATAAAAACTTGACAGAACATTTCTGAGAAACTTCTTTGTGATGTATGCTTTCATCTAACAGAGTTGAACGTTTCTTTTCATTGAGCAGTTTGGAAGCAGTCTTTTTGTAGAATATGCAAATGGATATTTAGAGCGATTTGAGGCCTATGGTGAACATGGAAATATCTTCACATAAAAACTAGACAGAAGCATTCTGAGAAACTTCTTTGTGATGTGTGCATCCATCTCTGAGAGTTGTACCTTTCTATTGATGGAGCACTTTTGAAACAGTCTTTTTGTAATATGTGCAGTGGGATATTTGTGACAGATTTAAGGCCTAGGGTGAAAAAGGAAATATCTTCACATAAAAACTAGACAGAAGCATTCTCAGGCACTTCTTTGTGATGTCTGCACTCATCTCACAGAGTTGAACATTTCTTTTGATGCAGCAGTTTGGAAACAGTCTTTTTTAGTATGTGCAGAGGCATATTTCTGACCAGTTTAAGGCCTATGGTAAAAAGGAAATATATTCACATAAAAACTAGACAGAAGCATTCTGAGAAACTTCTTTGTGGTGTGGGCATTCATCTCACATTGTTGAACCCTTCTTTTGATTGCGCCGTTTGGAAACACTCTTTTTGCAGAATTTGCAAATGGATATTTGGAGTGCTTTGAGGACTATGGTGAAAAAGGAAATATCTTCACATAAAAACGAGGCAGAAGCATTCTGAGAAACTTCTTTTTGATGCGTTCATTCATCTCACAGAGTTGAAACTTCCTTTTGATGCAGCAGTTTGGAAACAGTCTTTTGTAGTATCTGCAGAGGCATATTTGTGACCGGTTTAAGGCCTATGGTAAGAAGGAAGTATGTTCACATCAAAACTAGACAGAAGCATTCTGAGAAACTTCTTTCTGTTGTGTGCATTCATCTCACAAAGTTGAACCTTTCTTTTGATTGAGGAGGTTGGAAGCACTGTTTTTGCAGAATCTGCAAATGGATATTTGTAGCAATTTGAAGCCAATGGTGAAATAGGAAATATATTCACATAAAACTTGAGAGAAGCATTCTGAGAAACTTCTTTGTGATGTGTGCATTTATCTCCCAGAGTTGAACTTTTCTTTTGGTGGGGCAGTTTGGAAAGAGTCTTTTTGTGGTACTTGCAGAGGGATATTTGTGACAGGTTTGAGGCCTGGGGTGGAAAAGGAAATATCTTAACATAGAAATTAGACAGAAGCATTCTGGGAAACTTCTTTGGATGTGTGCATTCATCACACAGAGTTGAAGTGTTCTTTTGATTGAGCAGGTTGGAAACACTCCTTTTGTAGAATCTGCAAAGAGATATTTGGAGAGCTTTGAGACATATGTTGGAAAAGGAATTATCTTCACATAAAAACTAGACAGAAGCATTCTGAGAAACTTCTTTGTGATGTGTGCATTCATCTCACAGAGTTGAACCTTTCTTTTGATGGAGCAGTTTGGCAACAGTCTTTTTGTCATATCCACACAGGGACATTTGTGACTTGTTTCAGGCCTATGGTGAAAAGGAAATAACTTCACATAAAAAGGATACAGAAGCATTCTGAGAAAATTATTTGTGATGTGTGCATTTATCTAAGAGTTGAACGTTTCTTTTGATGTAGAAGTTTGGAAACAGTCCTTTTGTAAAATCTACAAATGGATATTTGGAGTGCTTTGAGGACTATGGTGAAAAAGGAAATATCTTCACATACAAACTAAATGGAAGCATTCTGGGAAATTTCTTTAGGATGAGTGATTTCATCTCACAGGGGTGAAACTTTCTTTTGTTTGAGCAGTTTGGAAATTCTCTTTTCGTAGTATCTGCAAATGCATATTATCTTCACATCATAACTAGACAAAAACGTTCTGAAAAAATTCTTTGTGATGTGTGCATTCATCTCAAAGAGTTCACCCTTTCTTTTGATTGAGTATTTCTGAAACACTCTTTTTGTTGAATCTGCAAGTGGATATTTGGAGCGCTTTGAGGCCTATGGTGAAAAAGGAAATATCTTCACATAAAAACTAGACACAAGCATTCTGAGAACCTTTTTTTTGTGATGCCTGCATTTATTTCACAGAGTTGAAGTTTTCTTTCAGTTAGCAGTTTGGAAACTGTCTTTCTGAAGAATCTGCAAATGGATATTTGAAAAGCTTTGGGCCTGTGGTGAAAAAGGAAATATACTAACATAAAAACTATACAGAAGCATTCTAAGAAACTTCGTTGTGATGCTTGCATTCATCTCACACAGTTGAACCTTTCTTTTGATTGAGCCATTTTGACAGAGTCTTTTTGTACAATCTGCGAAGGGCTATTTCCAAGGTGTTTGAGGCCTATGGTGAAAAAGAAATATCCTCACATATAAACTAGACAGAAGACTTCTAAGAAACTTATTTGTGATGTGTGCATTCATCTCAGAGTTGGAACTTTCTTTTGATTGAGCACTTTGGAAACAGTCTTTTTGTAGAAACTGCAGTGGGATATTTGTGAGCCTTTTATGGCCTATGGTGAAATAGGAAATATCTTCACATAAAAACTAGACAGAATTGACCACATAGTTGGAAGTAAAGCTCTCCTCAGCAAATGTAAAAGAACAGAAATTATAACAAACTATCTCTCAGACCACAGTGCAATCAAATTAGAACTCAGGATTAAGAATCTCACTCAAAGCCGCTCAACTACATGGAAACTGAACAACCTGCTCCTGAATGACTACTGGGTACATAACAAAATGAAGGCAGAAATAAAGATGTTCTTTGAAACCAACGAGAACAAAGACACCACATACCAGAATCTCTGGGACGCATTCAAAGCAGTGTGTAGAGGGAAATTTATAGCACTAAATGCCCACAAGAGAAAGCAGGAAAGATCGAAAATTGACACCCTAACATCACAATTAAAAGAACTAGAAAAGCAAGAGCAAACACATTCAAAAGCTAGCAGAAGGCAAGAAATAACTAAAATCAGAGCAGAACTGAAGGAAATAGAGACACAAAAAACCCTTCAAAAAATCAATGAATCCAGGAGCTGGTTTTTTGAAAGGATCAACAAAATTGATAGACCGCTAGCAAGACTAATAAAGAAAAAAAGAGAGAAGAATCAAATAGACACAATAAAAAATGATAAAGGGGATATCACCACCGATCCCCCAGAAATACAAACTACCATCAGAGAATACTACGAACACCTCTACACAAATAAACTAGAAAATCTAGAAGAAATGGATACATTCCTCGACACATACACTCTCCCAAGACTAAACCAGGAAGAAGTTGAATCTCTCAATAGACCAATAACAGGCTCTGAAATTGTGGCAATAATCAATAGTTTACCAACCAAAAAGAGTCCAGGACCAGATGGATTCACAGCCGAATTCTACCAGAGGTACAAGGAGGAACTGGTACCATTCCTTCTGAAACTATTCCAATCAATAGAAAAAGAGGGAATCCTCCCTAACTCATTTTATGAGGCCAGCATCATTCTGATACCAAAGCCGGGCAGAGACACAACCAAAAAAGAGAATTTTAGACCAATATCCTTGATGAACATTGATGCAAAAATCCTCAATAAAATACTGGCAAACCGAATCCAGCAGCACATCAAAAAGCTTATCCACCATGATCAAGTGGGCTTCATCCCTGGTATGCAAGGCTGGTTCAATATACGCAAATCAATAAATGTAATCCAGCATATAAACAGAGCCAAAGACAAAAACCACATGATTATCTCAATAGATGCAGAAAAAGCCTTTGACAAAATTCAACAACCCTTCATGCTAAAAACTCTCAATAAATTAGGTATTGATGGGACGTATTTCAAAATAATAAGAGCTATCTATGACAAACCCACAGCCAATATCATACTGAATGGGCAAAAACTGGAAGCATTCCCTTTGAAAACTGGCACAAGACAGGGATGCCCTCTCTCACCGCTCCTATTCAACATAGTGTTGGAAGTTCTGACCAGGGCAATCAGGCAGGAGAAGGAAATAAAGGGTATTCAATTAGGAAAAGAGGAAGTCAAATTGTCCCTGTTTGCAGACGACATGATTGTTTATCTAGAAAACCCCATCGTCTCAGCCCAAAATCTCCTTAAGCTGATAAGCAACTTCAGCAAAGTCTCAGGATACAAAATCAATGTACAAAAATCACAAGCATTCTTATACACCAACAACAGACAAACAGAGAGCCAAATCATGAGTGAACTCCCATTCACAATTGCTTCAAAGAGAATAAAATACCTAGTAATCCAACTTACAAGGGATGTGAAGGACCTCTTCAAGGAGAACTACAAACCACTGCTCAAGGAAATAAAAGAGGACACAAACAAATGGAAGAACATTCCATGCTCATGGGTAGGAAGAATCAATATCGTGAAAATGGCCATACTGCCCAAGGTAATTTGCAGATTCAATGCCATCCCCATCAAGCTACCAATGACTTTCTTCACAGAATTGGAAAAAACTACTTTAAAGTTCATATGGAACCAAAAAAGAGCCCGCATCGCCAAGTCAATCCTAAGCCAAAAGAACAAAGCTGGAGGCATCACACTACCTGACTTCAAACTATACTACAAGGCTCCAGTAACCAAAACAGCATGGTACTGGTACCAAAACAGAGATATAGATCAATGGAACAGAACAGAGCCCTCAGAAATAATGCCGCATATCTACAACTACCTGATCTTTGACAAACCTGAGAAAAACAAGCAATGGGGAAAGGATTCCCTATTTAACAAATGGTGCTGGGAAAACTGGCTAGCCAAATGTAGAAAGCTGAAAGTGGATCCCTTCCTTACACCTTATACAAAAATCAATTCAAGATGGATTAAAGATTTAAACGTTAGACCTAAAACCATAAAAACCCTAGAAGAAAACCTAGGCATTACCATTCAGGACATAGGCGTGGGCAAGGACTTCATGTCCAAAACACCAAAAGCAATGGCAACCAAAGCCAAAATTGACAAATGGGATCTAATTAAACTAAAGAGCTTCTGCACAGCGAAAGAAACTACCATCAGAGTGAACAGGCAACCTACAAAATGGGAGAAAATTTTCGCAACCTACTCATCTGACAAAGGGCTAATATCCAGAATCTACAATGAACTCAGACAAATTTACAAGAAAAAAACAAACAACCCCATCAAAAAGTGGGCGAAGGACATGAACAGACACTTCCCAAAAGAAGACATTTATGCAGCCAAAAAACACATGAAGAAATGCTCATCATCACTGGCCATCAGAGAAATGCAAATCAAAACCACTATGAGATATCATCTCACACCAGTTAGAATGGCAGTCATTAAAAAGTCAGGAAACAACAGGTGCTGGAGAGGATGTGGAGAAATAGGAACACTTTTACACTGTTGGTGGGACTGTAAACTAGTTCAACCATTGTGGAAGTCAGTGTGGCGATTCCTCAGGGATCTAGAACTAGAAATACCATTTGACCCAGCCATCCCATTACTGGGTATATACCCAAAGGACTATAAATCATGCTTCTATAAAGACACATGCACACGTATGTTTATTGCGGCACTATTCACAATAGCAAAGACTTGGAACCAACCCAAATGTCCAACAATGATAGACTGGATTAAGAAAATGTGGCACATATACACCATGGAATACTATGCAGCCATAAAAATGATGAGTTCAGGTCCTTTGTAGGGACATGGATGAAATTGGAAACAATCATTCTCAGTAAACTATCGCAAGAACAAAAAACCAAACACCGCATATTCTCACTCATAGGTGGGAATTGAACAATGAGATCACATGGACACAGGAAGGGGAATATCACACTCGGGGGACTGTGGTGGGGTCGGGGGAGGGGGGAGGGATAGCATTGGGAGATATACCTAATGTTAGATGACACGTTAGTGGGTGCAGCGCACCAGCATGGCACATGTATACATATGTAACTAACCTGCACAATGTGCACATGTACCCTAAAACTTAGAGTATAATAAAAAAAAATTAAAAAAAAAAAAAGAAAAGAAAAAAAAAAACTAGACAGAAGCTTTCTGAGAAACTTCTTATTGATGTATGCTTTCATCTCAGAGGGTTGAACCTCTCTTTTGACTGAACAGTTTGGAAATAATCTTCTTGTAGAGTCTGCAAATTTATATTTGGATCGCTTTGAGGCCTATAGTGAAAAAGGAAATATCTTCACATAAAAACTAGACAGAAGGATTCTGAGAAACTTCTTTGTGATGTGTGCATTCATCTCACAGATTCGAATCTTTCTTTTGATTGAGCAGTTTGGAAAGAGACTTTTCATAGAATCTGCATGGGGATATTTGTGAGCCCTTTTTGTCCTACGGTATAATAGGAAATATATTTAAATAAAAACAAGACAGAAGCATTCTGAGAAACTTCTTTCTGATGTGTGCATTCATCTCACAGAGTTGAACATTTCTTTTGATTGAGCAGGTGGGAAGCTTTGTTTTTGAAGAATCTGCAAATGGATATTTGCAGCGATTTGAGTCCAATGGTGAAATAGGAAATATATTCACATAAAAACTAGAGAGAAGCATTATGACAAACTTATTTGTGATGTGTGCATTCATCTCACAGAGTTGAACTTTTCTTTTGATAGAGCAGTTTGGAAACACTCTTTTTGTGGTATATGCAGAGGGATATTTGTGACCAGTTTGAGGCCTGGGGTGAAAAAGGAAATATCTTCACATAGAAACTAAACAAAAGCATTCTGAGAGACTACTTTGTGATGTATGTTTTCATCTCACAGAGGTGAAATTTCCTTTGATGGAGCAGTTTGGAAGCAGTCTTTTTGTAGTATCTGCAGAGGGATATTTGTGACAGGATTAAGGCTAGGGATGAAAAAGGCAATATCTTCATATAAAAACAGGACAGAATCGTTCTGAAAGACTTCTTTGTGATGTGGGCATTCATCTCACAAAGTTGAACATTTCTTTTGATTGAGCAGCTTGGAAACACTCTTTTTGTAGAATCTGCAAATGGATATTTGGAGTGCTTTGAGGCCAACGGTGAAAAAGGAAATATTTTCACATAGACACTAAACAGAAGCCTTCTGAGAAACATATTTGGATTGTGTTCATTCATCTCACAAACCTGAAATTTCTTTTGATTGAGCAGTTTGGAAACAGTCTTTTCGTAGAATCTGCCAAGGGATACTTGTGATCCCATTGCGGCCTATGTGGAAATATGAAATATCTTCACATAAAAACTGGACAGGAAGTTTCTGAGAAACTTCTTTGTGATGTGTGCTTTCATCTCACTGAGTTGAAACTTTCTTTTGATTGAGTGGTTTGGAAAGAGCCTTTTTGTACAATCTACAAATGGATATTTGGAGCGCTTTGAGGCCTAAGTTGAAAAAGGAAGTATCTTCACATAAAAACTAGACAGAAGCATTCAGAGAAACTTCTTTGTGATGTGTGCATTCATGTCACAGAGTTGAACCTTTTGTTTGAGCAGTTTTGAAACAGTCTTTTTGTAGTATCTACAAGTGGATATTTGGAGTGTTTTGAGACACATGGCTGACATGGAAATATGTTCACATAAAAACTGGACAGAAACATTCTGAGAAACTTCTTTGTGATATGTGCATTCATCTCACAGAGGTGAACATTTCTTTAGATTGAACAGTTTTGAAACATTCTTTTTCTTAGAATCTGCAGGTAGATATTTGGAGTGGTTTGAGATCTGTGGTGGAAAAGGAAATATCTTCACATAAAAACTAGACAGAAGCATTCTGAGAAACTTCTTTGTGATGTGAGCATTCATCCCACAGAGTTGAACTTTTCTTTTCATTGAGCAGTTTTGGAAACCTCTTTTTGTAGAATTTGCATGTGTATATTTTGAGCACTTTGTGGCCTAAAGTGGAAAAGGAAATATATTCACATATATACTAGACAGAAACATTCTGAGAAACTTCTTTATGATGGGTGCATTCACATCACAGAGTTGAAAGTTTCTTCTGATTGAGCAGTACGGAAACAGTCAATCTGTAGAATCTGCAATGGGATATTTGTAAGACCATTGAGGCCTATGGGGAAATAGGAAATATATTCACATAAAAATTAGACAGAAAATTTGTGAGAAACTTCTTTGTGATTTGTGCTTTCGTCTCAGAGAGCTGAAACTTTCTTTGATTGAGCATTTTGGAAACAGTCTTTTTGTAGAATCTGCAAGTGGATATTTGTAGTGCTTTGAGGCCTATGGCGAAAAAGGAAATATCCTCACATAAAAACTAGACAGAAGCATTCTGAGAAACTTCTTTGTGATGTGTGCATTCATCTCACAGAGTTGAACCTTTCTTTTGATTGAGCAGTTTCAAAATACTCTTTAATAGAATCTGCATGTGGATATTTGGAGCACTTTGAGGCCTATGATGGAAAAGGAAATATCTTCATATAAAAACTAGACAGAAGCATTCTGAGGAACATCTTTGTGATGTGTGCATTCATCTCAAAGAGTTGCACCTTTCTTTTGATGGAGCAGCTTAGAAGCAGTCTGTTTGTAATATTTACATTGGTATATTTGGGACAGGTTTAAGGCCAGGGGTGCAAAAGGCAATATCTTCACATAAAAACCATACAGAATAATTCTGCGAAACTTCTTTGTGATGAGGGCATTCATCTCACAGAAATGAACCTTTCTTTTGCTTGAGAAGTTTGGAAAGGTTCTTTTTTTAGAATCTTCAAATGGATATTTGGAGTGCTTTGAGGTCTATGATGTAAAAGGAAATAGCTTCACAAAAACACTAACCAGAAGTTTTCTGAGAAACTTATTTGGATCGTGTGCATTCATATCACAAACCTGAACTTTCTTTTGATTCAGCAGTTTGGAGGTAGTCTTTTCATAGAATCTGCAAAGGGATATTTGTGAGCCCATTGAGACCTATGGGGAAATAGGAAATATCTTCACATAAAAACTAGACAGTAACTTTCTGAGAAACCTCTTTGTGATGAGTGCTTTCATCTCACAGAGTTGAAACTTTCTTATGACTGAGCAGTTTGGAAACAGTCTTTTTGTAGAATCTGCAAGTAGATATTTGGAGTGCTTTTAGGCCTATCATGGAAAAGGAAATATCTTCACCTAAAACCCAGACAGAAGCATTCTGAGAAACTTCTTTGTGATGTGTGCATTCATGTCACAGAGTTGAACCTTACTTTTGATGGAGCAGTTTTGAAACAGTCGTTTTATACAATCTGCAGAGGGAGATTTGTGAGCCCATTGAGGCCTATGGGAAATAAGAAATGTCTTCACAGAAAAATTAGACAGAATATTTCTGAGAAACTTCTTTGTGACGTGTGCTTTCATCACACAGAGTTGAAACTTTCTTTTGATTGAGCATTTTGGAAACAGTCTTTTTACGGAATCTGCAAATGGTTGTTTGGAGCACTTTGAGGCCTATGGTGAAAAACAAAATATCGTCACTTAAAACTTGACTTAAGCACACTGAGAAACTCCTCTGTGATGTCTTCTTTCATCTCACAGAGTTGAACTTTTCTTTTGATTGAGCAGTTTGGAAGCAGTCTTTTTGTAGTATCTGGAAGTGGATATTTGGAGCGCTTTGAGGTCTATGGTAAAAAAGGAAATATCTTCGCCTAAAAACTAGACAGAAGCATTCTGAGAAACTTCTCTGTGATGTGTGCATTCATCTCAAAGAGTTGAAACTTTCTTTTGATTCAGCAGTCTTGAAATACTCTTTTTGTAGAATCTGAAATTGGATATTTGAAGCACTTTGAGGCCTCTGGTGGAAACGGAAATATCTTCATATAAAAATTAGTCGGAAGCATTCTGAGAAACTACTTTGTGATGTGTGCATTGAACTCACAGAGTTGAACCTTACTTTTGATTGAGCAGTTTGGAAAAACTCTTTTTGGAGAATCTGCAAATGGATAATTGGAAGGATTTGAGGACTATGGTGAAAAAGGAAATATCTTCACATGATAACTAGACAGAAGCATTCTGAGAAACTTCTTTGTGATGTGGGCATTCATATCACAGTTGAGCCTGTCTTTCGAGCGAGTAGCTTTGAAACCCTCTTTCTGTGCAATCTGCAAGTAGATATTTGTAGTGCTTTGAGGCCTATGGTGGAAAAGGAAATACCTTCACATAAAAACTAGACAGAAGCATTCTGAGAAACTTCTTTGTGATGTGTGCATTCACCTCACAGAGTTGAACCTTTCTTTTGATTGAGCAGTTTTCAAACAGTCTTTTTGGACTATCTGGAAATGAATATTTGGAGTGTTCTGAGGCCTATGGTGGAAAAGGAAATATCACATAAAAACTAGACAGAAGCATTCTGAGAAACTACTTTGTGATGTGTGCATTCATCTCACAGAGTTGAAACTGTCTTTTGATTGAGGAGTTTGGAAACCATCTTTTTTGTAGATTCTGCAAAGGGATAATTTGTGAGCCCTTTGAGGCCTCTGGGGAAACAGGAAATATCTTCAAATAAAAACTAGACAGAAGCATTCTGAGAAAATATTTGTGATGTGTGCTTTCTTTCCACAGGGTTGAAATTTTCTTTTGATTGAGCAGTTTGGAAAGAGTCTTTTGTAGAATCTGCAAATGGATATTTGGAGTGCTTTGTGTCCTATGGTGGAAAAGGAAATATCTTCACATAAAAACTAGACAGAAGCATTCTGAGAAACTACTTTGTGATGTGTGCATTCATCTCACAGAGTTGAAACTATCTTTTGATTGAGGA
Source organism: Homo sapiens (assembly GCF_000001405.40). Taxonomy (NCBI): domain Eukaryota; kingdom Metazoa; phylum Chordata; class Mammalia; order Primates; family Hominidae; genus Homo; species Homo sapiens. The sequence continues at coordinate 62,078,287 of NC_000007.14, read as the reverse complement.
GTTTGGAAACCATCTTTTTCTAGAATCTGCAAATGGATAATTTGTGAGCCCTTTGAGGTCTCCGGGGAAATAGAAAATATCTTCAAATAAAAACTGGACAAACCATTCTGAGGAGCTTCTTTGTGGTGTGTGCTTTCCTCTTGCAGAGGTGAAACTTTCTTTTGATTGAGCAGTTTGGAGACAGTCTTTTTGTAGAATCTGAAAATCTGAAAATGGATATTTAGAGCAATTTGAGGTGTATGGTGGAAAAGGAAACACCTTCACAGAAAAAGTAGACGGAACCATTCTGAGAAACTTCTTTGTGATGTGTACATTCATCTTAAAGAGTTGAACCTCTCTTTTGAATGAGCAATTTTGAAATAATCTTTTTGTAGGATCTGCAAGTGGAGATTTGGACTCCTTTAGTCCTATGGTAGAAAAGAAAATATCTCCACATAAAAACTAGACAGAAGCATTCTGAGAAACTCCCTTGTGATGTGTGAATTCATCTCACAGAGTTGAACCTTTCTTTTGATTGAGCAGTTTTGAAACACTCTTTTTGTAGAATCTGCAAGTGGATATTTAGAGCGATTTGAGGCCTATGGTGGAAAAGGAAATATCTTCACATGAAAACTACACAGAAGCATTCTGGGAAACTACTTTGTCATGTGTGCATTCATCTCACAGAGTTGAACCTTTCTTTTGATTAAGCAGTTTGGAAACGCTCTTTTTGTAGAATCTGCAAAGGGAAATTTTTGAGCCAATTGAGGCCTATGGGGAAATAGGAAATATCTTCACATAAAAACTAGACAGAAACTTTCTGAGAAACTTCTTAGTGTTTTGTGCATTTATCTCATAGAGATGAACCTTTCTTTTGATTGAGCGGTTTTGAAACAGTCTTTTTATAGTATCTGCAAGTGGATATGTGGAGTGATTTGAGGCCTATTTTTGAAAAGGAAATATCTTCACATAATATCTGGACTGAAGCATTCTGAGAAACTTCTTTGTGATGTTTGCATTCATCTCACAGAGTTGAATATTTCTTTTGATTGAATAGTTTGGAAATAGTTGATTTGTAGAATTTGAAAAGGGAAATTTGTGAGCCCATTGAGGCATTTGGGGAAATCAGAAATATCTTCACATAAAAGCTCGACATGAACAATTTAAGACGCTACTTTGTGATGTGAGTTTTCATCCCACAGAGTTGAAACTTTCTTTTGATTGAGCAGTTCAGAAACAGTCTTTTTGTAGAATCTGAAAAATGCATATTTGGAGTGCTTTGAGTCCCATGGTGAAAAAGGAAAAATCTCATAAAAACAAGGCAGAAGCATTCTGAGAAACTTCTTTGTCATGTGTGCATTCATCTCACAGAGTTGAACATTTCTTTTGATTGAGTTGTTTTGAAAAAGTCTTTTTGTAGTATCTGGAAATGGATATTCGGAGTGCTTTGAGGCCTACGGTGGAAAAGGAAATATCTTTGCATAAAAACTAGACAGAAGCATTCTGAGAAACTACTTTGTGATGAGTGCATTCATCTCACAGAGTTGAAACTTGCTTTTTATTGCGCAGTTTGGAAACAGTCTTTTTTATAGAAGCTGCAAAGGGATATTTGTCAGTCCCTTGTGGCCTCTGGGGACATAGGAAATATCCTCAGAGAAAAGCTAGACAGACGCATTCTGAGAAATTTCTTTGTGATGTGTGCTTTCAGTCCACAGAGTTGAAACTTTCTGTTGATTGAGCAGGTTAGAAAAAGTCTTTTTGTAGAATATGTAAATGGAAATTTGGAGCACTTTGAGGCCTATAGTGAAAAAGGAAATACCGTCACATAAAAACTAGACAGAAGCATTCTGAGATACTCCTTTGTGATGTGTGCATTTATCTCACAGAGTTGAACATTTCTTTTGATTGAGTAGTTTGGAAACAGTCTTTTTGTAGTATCTGCAAATGGATATTTGGAGATCATTGAGGCCTACAGTGAAAAAGAAAATAACTTCAGATAAAAACTAGACAGAAGCATTCTGAGAAACTGCTTTGTGATGTGTGCATTCATCTCACAGGGTTGAACGTTTCTCTTGATTGAGCAGTTTGGAAACAGTCTTTTTGTGATATATGCATATGGATATTTGAATGCTTTGAGGCCTATGGTGAAAAACAAATATCTTCACATAAAAACTAGACAGTAGCATTCTCAGAAACTTCTTAGTGTTATGTGCATTCATCTCACAGTGTTGGACATTTCTTTTCATTGAGCAGTTTAGAAAAAGTCTTTTTGTAGTATATGCAAATGGATATTTGGAGCACTATGAAACCTATGGTGAAAAAGGAAATATCTTCACATAAAAACTAGACAGAAGCATTCTGAGAAACTTCTTTGTGATGTGTGCATTCATCACACAGCGTTGAACGTTTCTTTTGATTGAGCAGTTTGGAAGGAGTCTCTTTGTAGTATCTGCAAACGGATATTTGGAGTGCTTTGAAGCAAATGGTGAAACAGGAAATATTTTTACATAAAAATTAGACAGAAGCGTTCTGAGGAACTTCTTTGCGATGTGTGCATTCGTCTCACAGAGTTGAACCATTCTTTTGATTGAGCAGATTTGAAACTCTCTTTTTGTAGAATCTGCAACTGGATATTTGAAGTGCTTTGAGGCCATGGTGGAAAAGGAAATATCTTCATATAAACACTAGACAGAAGCATTCTGAGAAAGTTCTTTGTGACGTGTGCATTCATCTCACAGATTTGAATCTTTCTATTGACTGAGCAGTTTGGAAACCGTCATTTTGTAGATTCTGCAAAGGGATAATTGTGAGCTTATCTCTGAGGTTTATGGGGAAATAGGAAATATCTTCACATAAAAACTAGACAGAAAGTTTCTGAGAAACTTCTTTGAGATGTGTGCTTTCGTCTCACAGAGATGAAACTTTCTTTTGATTGAGTAGGTTGAAAACAATCTGTTTGTAGAATCTGCAAATGGATATTTGGAGCGCTTTTAGGCCTATGGTGAAAAAGGAAATATCTTCACATAAAAAATAGACGGAAGCATTCTGAGAAACTTCTTTGTGAAGTGTGCATTCGTCTCACAGAGTTGAACTTTTCTTTCGATTGAGCAGTTTGGAAACAGTCTTTTTGTTGTATCTGTTAATGGATATTTGGAGTGCTTTGAGGCCTATGGTGAAAAAGGAAATATCTTAACATAAAAACGAAAGATAATCCTTTTGAGAAACTTCTTTGTGATGTGTGCTTTCATTTCACAGAGTTGAACCTTTCTTTTGATTGAGCAGTTTGGGAACACTGTTTTTGTAGAATCTGCAAGGGGATATTTGGAACTCTTTGAAGGCTTTTATGGCATAGGGAATATCTTCACCTAAAAACTAGATCGAAACATGCTAAGAAACTTCTTTGTGATGGATGGGTGCATTCATCTGACACAGTTGAATATTTCTTTTGATTGAGCAGTTTAGAAGCAGTCATTTTGTAGAATCTGCAAAGGGATATTTGTGAGCCCATTGACGCCTATGGGGAAATAGGAAATATCTTCATATAAAAACTAGAGAGAAATTTTTTGAGAAAGTTCTTTGTGAGGTGTGCTTTCATCTCACAGATTTGAAACTTTCTTTTGGTTGAGCAGTTTGGAAACAGTCTTTTTGTAGAATCTACAAATGGATATTTTGAGTGCTTTGAGGCCTATGGTGAAAAAGGAAATATCTTCACATAAAAACTAGACAGAAACATTTTGAGAAACTTCTTTTGGATGTTTTCATTCATCTTACAGTCTTGAACCTTTCTTTTGATTGAGTAGTTTGGAAATAGTCTTATTGTGGTATCTGCAAATGGATATTTGGAGCGCCTTGAGGCCTATGGAGAAACGGGAAATATCTTAACATTAAAATGAGACAGAAGGCTTTTGAGAAACTTCTTTGTGATGTGTGCTTTCATTTCAGAGAGTTGAACCTGTCTTTTGATTGAGCAGTTTGGGAACACTCTTTTTGTAGAATCTCCAAGTGGATATTTGGAACGCTTTTAGGCCTATTGTGGAAGAGGAAATATTTTCACCTAAACACTAGACAGAAGCACTCTGAGAAACTTCTTTGTGATGGGTTCATTCATCTCACAGAGTTGAATATTTCCTTTGATTGAGTAGTTTTGAAACAGTCATTTTGTAGGATCCGCAAAGGGATACTTGTGAGCCCTTTGAGGCCTATGGGGAAATAGGAAATTTCTTGACATAAAAAGTAGACAGAAGCATTCTGAGAAACTTCTTTGTGATGTGTGTTTTCATACCACAGAGTTGAAACTTTCTTTTGATTGAGCAGTTTGTAAACAGTGTTTTTGTAGAATCTGCAAATGGATAGTTGGATTGCTTTTAGGCCTATGGTGAAAAAGGAAATATCTTCACATAAAAACTAGACAGAACAATTCTGAGAAACTTCTTTGTGACGTGTGCATTCATCTCACAGTGTTGAACGTTTCTCTTGATTGAGCAGTTTGGAAAAAGTCTTTTTGTAGTACCTTCAAAAGGATATTTGGATCGCCTTGAAGCCTACAGTGAAAAAGGAAATATCTTCACATAATGACTAGACCAAAGCATTCTGAGAAAATTCTTTGCGATGTGTGCATTCATCTCACAGAGTTGAACATTTCTTTTGATGGAGCAATTTGGATACAGTTGTTTTGAAGAATCTGTGGAGGGATATTTGTGAGCTCACTGAGGCCTATGGGAAGTAGAAAATATCTTCACATTAAAACTAGACAGAACCTTTCTGAGAAACTTCTTTGTGATGTGTGCTTTCGTCTCACAGAGTTGAAACTTTGTTTTGGTTGAGCAGTTTGGAAACAGTCTTTTTATGGAATCTGCAAATGGATATTCGGAGCGCTTTGAGGCCTATGGTGAAAAAGGAAATATCTTCACATAAAAACTAGGCAGAAGCATTCTGAGAAACTTCTTTGTAATGTGCACCTTCATCTCACAGACATGAACCTTTCTTTTGATTAAGCAGTTTAGAAACCGTCGTTTTGTAGAATCTGCAAAGGCATATTTCTGAACCCATTGGGGCCTAAGGAGCAATAGGAAATATTGTCACATAAAAACTACACTGAAACGTTCTGAGAATCTTCTTTGTGATGTTTCAAGGAGTTGAAACTTTCTTTTGATTGACTAGATTGGAAAGAGTCTTTTTGTAGAATCCTGAAATGGATATTTGGAGTGCTTTGAGGCATATGGTGAAAAAGGAAATATCTTCACATGAAAACTAGACAGAAGAAATTGGAGAAACTTTTCATGATGAGTGCATTCATCTCACAGAGTTGAACCTTTCTTTTGATTGAGGAGTTTGGAAAGAGTCTTTTTGTAGTATCTGCAAGTGGATATTTGGAGCACTTTGAGTCCTATGGTGGATAAGGAAATATTTTCACATCAAGCTAGACAGAAGCAGTCTGAGAAACTTCTTTTTGATGTGCTCATTTATGTTACAGGGAAGCTTTCTTTTCATTGAGCAGTTTTGAGACACTCTTTTTGTGGAATCTGCAAGTGGATACTTGGAGCTCATAGAGGCCTGTGGTGGAAAAGGAAATATGTTCACATAAAAACTAGACAGAAACATTCTGAGAAACTTCTTTGTGAAGAGTGCATTCATCTCACAGAGTTGGAAATTCCTTTTGATTGAGCAGTTTGGGATCAGTCGTTTTGAAGCAGCTGCAAAGGGATATTTGTGAACTCAATGAGGCATATGGGGAAATAGGAAATATCTTCACATAAAAACTAGACAGAAACTTTCTGAGAAACTTCTTTGTGATATGTGCTTTCATCTCACAGAGTTGAAACTTTCTTTTGATTGGGCAGTTTGGAAACAGCCGATCCTTAGAATCTGCATAGGGACATTTATTAGCCCATTGACGATGCTGGGGAAATAGTTTATATCTTCACATAAAAACTAGACTGAAACTGTCGGAGAAACTTTTTTGTCATGTGTGTTTTCATCCCACAGAGTTGAAATTTTCTTTTGATTGAGCAGTTTGGAAACATTCTTTTTGTAGAATCTGTAAATGGATATTTGTAGCACTTTGAGGCCTATTGTGAAAAATGAAATATCTTCACATAAAAACTACACAGAAGGATTCTGAGAAAGTTCTTTGTGATGTGCACATTCACCTCACAGAGTTCAAACTTTCTTTTGATGGAAAAGTTTGGAAACAGTCGTTTTGTAGATTCTGCAAAGGGATATTTGTGCACCCATTGAGGCCTACGTAGAAATAGGAAATATATTCTCATAAAAACTAGACAGAAGCATTCTGAGAAACTTCTGTGTGATGTGTGCATTCATCTCACACAGTTGAACTTTTCTTTTGATTGAGCAGTTTTGAAAAAGTCTTTTTCTATATCTGCAAGTGGATATTTGGAGTGATTTGAGGTCTATGGAGGAAAAGGAAACATCTTTACATAAAAACTAGTCAGAAGCATTCTGAGAAATTTCTTTGTGATGTATGCATTCTACTTGTAGATTCTACAAAAGGAGTGTTTCAAAACTGCTAAATCAAAAAAAGGTTCAAGGCTCCAAATGTCCACTTGTACATTCTACAAAAAGAGAGTTTCAAAACTGCTCAAACAAAAGAAAGGTTTAAATCCATGAGATGAATGAACACATCACAAAGAAGTTTCTCAGATTGCTTCTGTCTAGATTTTACGTGAAGATATTTCCTTTTATAACATAGGCCACAAAGCACTCCAAATGTCCACTTGCAGATTCTACAAAAACAGAGTTTCAAAACTGCTCAATCAAAACAAAGGTTTAACTCAGTGAAATGAATGCACACATCACAAAGAAGTTTCTCAGATTGCTTCTGTTTAGATTTTATGTGAAGATATTTCCTTTTGAAATGTAGGCTGAAAAGCGCTCCAAATGTCCACCTGTAGATTCTACAAAAAGAGAGTTTCAAAACTGCTCAATCAAAAGAAAGGTTCAACTCTGTGAAATGAATGAATACATCACAAAGAAGTTTCTCAGAATGCTTCTGCCTAGTTTTTATGTGAAGAGATTTCCTTTTCATCTATAGGACTCAAAGTGCTCAAAATATCCATTGGCTGATACAACAAAAAGAGTGTTTCCAAACTGCTCGATCAAAAGAAAGCTTCAACTCTGTGAGTTGAATGCGCACATCACAAAGTAGTTTCTGAGAATACTTCTGTCTAGTTTTTAGGTGAAGAGTCTTCCTTTTCGGCTATAGGCCTCAAAGCACTGTAAATATCCATTTGAAAATACTTCAAAAAGAGTGTTTCAAAACTGCTCAATCAAAAGGAAAGTTCAACTCTGTGAGATGTATGCACACATCACAAAGAATTTTCTCAGGATGCTTCTGCCTAGTTTTTATGTGAAGATATTTCCTTTCAGCTATAGACCTCAAAGCACTCCAAATATCCATTTGCAGATACTACAAAAAGTGTTTCCAAACTGCTCAAAGAAAAGAAAGCTTCAACTCTGTGAGGTGAATGCACACATCACAAAGTAGTTTCTGAGAATGCTTCTGTCTAGTTTTTATGTGAAGATATTTCCTTTTCCACCATAGGCCTCAAAGTGCTCCAAATAGCCACTTTCAGATTCTACGAAAAGAGTGTTTCAAAACTGTTCAATCAAAAGAAAGTCTCAACTGTGTAAGATGAATGCACACATCACAAAGAAGTTTCTCAGGATGCTTCTCTCTAGTTTTTACGTGAAGATATTTCCTTTAAGCTATCGGCCTCAAAGCACTCCAAATATCCATTTGCAGACAGTACATAATGAATGTTTCCAAACTGCTTAACCAAAAGAAAGCTTCAACTCTGTGAGTTGAATGCTCACATCACAAATAAGTTTCTGAGAATGCTTCTATTTTTTATATGAAGATATTTCATTTTCAGCTATAGGCTTCAAAGCGCTCAAAATATTCATTTGTAGACACTACAAGAAGAGTTTTTCCAAACTGCTCAATCAAAAGAAAGGCTCAGCTCTGTTAGTTGAATGCCTTCATCACAAAGGAGCCTCTGAACATGCTTTTGTCTTGTTTTTATGAGAATATACTTCCTTTTCCACTGTAGAATTAAAAGCACTCCAATAATCCACTTTCAGATTCTACAAAAAGAGTTTTTCTAAACTTCTCAATCAAAAGAAAGGTTCAACTCTGTGAGTTGAATGCACACATCACAAAGAAGTACCTGAGAATGCTTCTGTCTAGTTTTTATGTGAAGATATTTGTTTTCCACCGTAGGCCTCAAAGCGCTCCAAATACCCACTTGCAGATTCTACAAAGGAGTGTTTCAAAACTGCTCAATCAAAAGAGAGGTTCAACACTGTGAGATGAATGCACACACCACAAAGAATTTTCTGAGAATGCTTCTGTCTAGTTTTCATTTGAAGATATTTCCTTTTCCACCAGAGGCTTCAAAGTGCTCCAAATATCCACTTGCGAATTCTGCAAAAAGACTGTTTCAAAACTCCTCAATCAAAAGAAAGGTTCAACTCTGTGAGATGAGTGCTTACATCACAAAGAAGTTTCTGAGAATGCTTCTGTCTAGTTTTTATGTGAAGATACTTTCTTTTCAGCTATAGGCCTAAAACACTCCAAATATCCATTTGCAGATACTACAAAAAGAGTCTTTGCAAACTGATCAAACAAAAGAAAGGTTCAACTCTGTGAGATGAATGCACACATCACAAATTAGTTTCTCAGAATGCTTCTGACTAGTTTTTATGTGAAGAGATTTACTTTTCACCTATAGGCCTCAAAGTGCACAAAATATCCATTTGCAGATACTACAAAAAGAGTGTTTCCAAACTGCTCAATCAAAAGAATTGTTCAACTCGGTGAGTTGAAACCACACATCAGTAAGAAGTATCTGAGAATGCTTCTGTCTAGTTTTTATGTGAAGATATTTCCTTTTCCACCATAGGCCTCAAAGCGCTTCAAATATCCACTTGCAGATTCTGCAAAAAGAGTGTTTCCTAACTGCTCAATCAAAAGTGTGGTTCAACTCTGTGAGATGAATGCACACATCACAAACAAGTTTCTCAGAATGCTTCTGTCTTGTTTTTATGTCAAGATATTTCCTTTTCAGTTACAGGAGTCAAAGCTCTCCAAATATCCACTTGCAGATACTTCAAAACGTTTGTTTCCAAACTGCTTAATGAAAAGAAAGGGTCAACTCTCTGAGTTGAGTGCACACATCACAAAAGAGTTTCTGAGAATGCTTCTGTCTAGATTTATGTGAAGATATTTCCTTTTCCACCAAAGGCCTCAAAGCGCTCCAAATATCCACTTGCAGATTCTACAAAAAGTGCATTTCAAAACTCCTCAATCAAAAGAAAGCTTCAGTTCTCTGAGATGAATACACACATCACAAAGAAGTTACTGAGAATTCTTCTGTATAGTTTTTATGTGAAGATATTTCCTTTTCCGCTACAGGCCTCAAACTGCTGCAAATATCCATTTGCAGATACTACAGAAAGAGTGTTTAGAAACTGCTCAATTAAAAGAAAGGTTCAACCCTATGAGTTACATGCACACATCACAAAAATGTTTCTGAGAATGCTTCTTTTTAGTTTTTATGTGATATTTCCTTTTCCACCATGGGCCTCAAAGCAGTCCAAATTCAACTCTGTGAATGCACACATCATGAAGAATTTTCTCAGATTGCTTCTTTCTAGTTTGTATGTGAAGATATTTCCTTTTCAGCTATAGGCCTAAAAGCGCTCCAAATATCCACTTGCAGATACTGGAAAAAGAGTGTTTCCAAACTGCTCAAAGAAAAGAAAGGTTCAGCTCTATGAGTTGAATGTCCAGATCACAAAGAAGTATCTGAGAATGCTTCTGTCTAGTTTTTATGTGAAGATATTTTATTTTCCACCATAGGCCTCAAAGCGCTCCAAATCTCCACTTGGAGATTCTACAAAAAGAGTATTTCCAAACTGCTCAATCAAAAGAAATGTTCAAAACTGTGAGTTGAATGTACACATCACAAAGAAGGTTCAGAGAATGCTTCTGTCTAGTTTTTATGTGAAGATATTTCCTTTTCCACCAGAGGCCTCAAAGGGCTCCAAAAATCCACCTACAGATACTACAAAAAGAGAGTTTCAGAACTGCTCAATCAAAAGAAAGGTTTACCTCTGTGAGACAAATGCACACATCACAAAGAAGTTTCTCAGATTGCTTCTGTCTAGATTTTAAGTGAAGATATTTCCTTTTCTACCATAGACCGCAAAGTGCTCCAAATGTCCACTTGCAGATTCTATGAAAAGAGTGTTTCAAAACTCCTCAATCAATAGAAAGGTTCAATTCTGTGTGATGAATGCACACATCACAAGGACGTCTCTCATATTTCTTCTGTCTATTTTTTATGTGAAGATATTTCCTTTTCCACGACAGGCCTCAAAGCGCTCCAAATGTCCACTTGCAGATCCTACAAAAAAAGAGTTTCAAAACTTCTCAATGAAAAGAAAGTTTTAACTCTGTGAGATGAATGCACACATTATGAAGAGGTTTCTCAGATGGTTCCTGTCTAGATTTTATGTGAAGATATTTCCTTTTCTATCATAGCCCGCAAAGCGCTCCAATTGTCCACTTGCAGATTCTACAAAAAGAGTGCTTCAAAACTGCTCAATCAAAAGGAAGTTTCAACTCTGTGAGATGAATGCACACATCACAAAGAAGTTTCTGAGAATTCTTCTCTGTAGTTTTTATGTGAAGATATTTCCTTTTCCACCATGAGCCTCAAAGTGCTCCAAATATCCACTTGCAGATTCTACAAAAAGAGAGTTTCAAAAACGGCTGAGTCAGAAGAAATGTTGAACTCTGTGAGATGAACGCACACATCAAAAGGAGTTTCTCAGAATTCTTTTGTGTAGTTTTTATATGAAGATATTTCCTTTTCCTCTGTAGGCCTGAAGGCGCTAGAATTGTCCACTTGCAGATTCTGCTAAAAAAGTATTTCAAAACTGGTCCTTCAAAAGAAAGGTTCAATTCTGGGACATGAGTTCACACAGCATGAAGAAGTTTGTCAGTTTGCTTCTGTCTAGTTTTTATGTGAACATATTTCTTTTTCAGATATAGGCCTCAAAGCACTCCAAATATCCATTCGCAGATACCACAAAAAGAGTGTTCCCAAACTGTTGAAACTAAAGAAAGCTTCAACTCTGTGAGTTGAATGCACAAATCACAAAGAATTTTCTGAGAATGCTTCTGTCTAGTTTTCTGTGAAGATATTTCCTTTTCCACCGTAGGCTTCAAAGTGCTCCAAATATTCACTTTCAGAATGTACAAAAAGGGTTTTTCAAAACTGCTCAGTCAAAAAAAGATTCTACTCTGTGAGATGAATGCACACATCACAAAGAAATTTCTCAGAATACTTCTGTCTACTTTTCATGTGAATATAATTCCTTTTCAGATTTAGGCACCAAAGCACTCTAAATATCCTCTTCCAGGTTCTACAAAGAGTGTTTCAAAACTGCTCGATCAAAAGAAACGTTTAACTATGTGAGAAGAATGCACACATCATGAAGAATTTTCTCAGATTGCTTCTGTCTAGTTTTTATGTGAAAATGTTTCCTTTTCAACTATAGGCCTAAAAGCGCTCCAAATATCCACTTGCAGACACAGGAAAAAGAGTGTTTCCAAACTGTTCAATGAAAAGAAAGGTTCAAATCTATGAGTTGAATGCCCATAACATAAAGAAGTATCTGAGAATGCTTTTGTCTAGTTTTCATGTGAATATATTCCCTTTTCCACCACAGGCCTCAAAGCGCTCCAAATCTCCACTTGCAGATTCTACAAAAAGAGGGTTTACAAACTGCTCAATCAAAGGAAAGGTTCAAATCTGTGAGATGAATGCACACATCACAAAGAAGTTTCTCAGGATGCTTCTGTCTAGTTTTTATATGAAGATATTTCCTTTTCAGCTATAGGCCTCAAAGTGCTCCATATATCCATTTACAGATACTACAAAAACAGTGTTTCCAAACTGCTCAATCAAAAGAAAGCTTCAACGCTGTGAGTTGAATGCACAAATCACAAAGAAGTTTCTGAGAATGCTTCTGTCTAGTTTTTATGTGAAGATATTTGCTTTTCAGCTATAGGCGTCAAAGCGCTCCAAATATCCATTTGCCGATACTACAAAATGAGTGTTTACAAACAGCTCAATCAAAAGAAAGCTTCACCTCTGTGAGGTGAATGCGCACATCACAGAGAAGTTTCTCACAATGCTTGTGTCTAGTTTTTATAAGAAGATATTTTCTTTTCCACCATAGGACCCAAAGCGCTCCAAATATCCACTTGCAGATTCTACAAAAAGAATGTTTCAAAACTGCTCAATCAAAAGAAAGTTTCAACTCTGTGAGATGAATGCACAAATCACAAAATAGTCTTTGAGAATGCTTCTGTCTAATTTTTATGTGAAGATATTTCCTTTTCTGCTATAGGACTCAAAGCGCTCCAAATATCCCTTTGAAGATACTACAAAAATAGTGTTCCCAAACTGCTCAATCAAAGGAAAGGTTCAAGTCTGTGAGTTGAATACACTCATCACAAAGAAGTTTCTGAGAATCCTTCTGTCCAGTTTTTATGTGAAGATATTTCTTTTTCCACCATAGGCCTCAAAGCACTCCAAATACCCTTTTGCAGATTGTACAAAAAGAGTGTTTCAAATCTGCTCAGACAAAAGAAAGTTTCAAGTCTGTGAGATGAATGCACACATGACAAAGAATTTTCTGAGAAAGCTTCTGTCTAGTTTTTATGTGAAGATATTACCTTTTTAGCTCTAGGCCACAAAGCGCTCCAAATTTCCACTTGCAGATTCTACAAAAGAGTGTTTCCAAACTGCTCAATCAAAAAAATGTTCAACTCGGTGAGTTGAAATCACACATCACAAAGAAGTACATGAGAATGCTTCAGTCTAATTTCTATGATAAGATATTTCCTTTTCTGCCATAGGCCCCAAAGTGCTCCAAATATCCACTTGCAGATTCTACAAAAAGAGTGTTTCCTAACTGCTCAATCAAAAATATGATTCAACTGTGTGAGATGAATGCACATTTCACAAACAAGTTTCTCAGAATGCTTCTGTCTAGTTTTTGTGTGAAGATATTTCCTTTTCAGTTATAGGAGTCAAAAGGCTCCAAATATCTATTTGCAGATACTTCAAAAAGTTTGTTGCCAAAATGCTTAATCAAAAGAAAGTTTCAACTCTCTGAGTTGAATGCACACATCACAAAGGAGTTTCTGAGAATGCTGCTGTCTAGTTTTAATGTGAAGATATTTCCTTTTCCACCATAGGCCTCAAAATGCTCCAAATGTCCACTTGCAGATCCTACAAAAAGAGAGTTTCAAAATGGCTCAATGAAAAGAAAGGTTTAACTAAGTTAGATGAATGCACATATCACACAGAGGTTTCTCAGATTGCTTCTGTCTAGATTTTATGTGAAGATATTTCCTTTTCTACCATAGTCCGCAAAGCGCTCCAAATATCCACTTGCAGATTCTACAAAACGAGTGTTTCCAAACTGCTTAGTATAAAGAAAGATTCAACTCTGTGAGATGAACGCACACATCACAAAAAAGTTTCTCAGAATTCTTCTGACTAGTTTTTATATGAAGATATTTCCTTTTCCACCATAGACCTCAAAGCCCTCCAAATGTCCATTTGCAGATTCTACAAAAAGAGAGTTTCAAAACTGCTCAATCAAAAGAAAGGCTTACCTCTGTGAGACAAATGCACACATCACAAAGAAGTTTCTCAGGTTGCTTCTGTCTAAATTTTACATGAAGATATTTCCTTTTCTACGATAGGCCGAAAAGAGCTCTAAATGTCCACTTGCAGAGTCTACAAAAAGAGTGTTTCAAAACTCCTCAATCAAAAGAAAGTTTCAACTCTGTGAGATGAACGCACACATCACAAAAAAGTTTCTCAGAATTCTTCTGACTAGTTTTTATGTGAAGATATTTCCTTTTCCACGATAGCCCTCAAAGCGCTACAAATGTCTACTTGCAGGTTCTACAAAAAGAGAGTTTCAAAACTGCTCAATAAAAAGAAAATTATAACTCAGTGAGATGAATTCATACATCACAAAGAAGTTTCTCAGATTGTTTCTGTCTAGATTTTATGTGAAGATATTTCCTTTTCTACCATAGGCCCCAAAGCACTCCAAATATTCTCTTGCTGATTCTACAAAAAGAGTGTTTCCAAACTTCTAAATCAAAAGAAAGCTTCAAACTTAGAAGATGAATGCACACATCACAAAGTAGTTTCTCAGAATCCTTCTGTCTAGTTTCTATGTAAAGATATTTCCTTTTCCACCATAGGCCTCAAGACACTCGAAATGTTCACTTGCAGATTCTACCAAAAACGTATTTCAAAACTGGTCAATCAAAAGAAATGTTCAATGCTGGGAGATGAATGCACACATCACAAAGAAGTTGCTCAGAATGCTTCTATCTAGTTTTTACTTGAAGATATTTCATTTTCCACCATGGGACTCAAAGCTCTTCATATGTCCAATTGCAGATTCTACAAAAAGAGAGTTTCAAAACTGCTCTATCAAGAGAAAGGTTTAACTCTGTGAGATGAATGCACACATCACAAAGAAGTTTCTCAGATTGCTTCTCTCTAGGTTTTATGTGAAGATATTTCCTTTTCTACGATTGGCCGCAAATCACTCCAAATGTCCACTTGCAGATCCTATAAAAAGAGTGTTTCCAAACTGCTCAATGAAAAGAAATGTTGAATTCTGTGAGATGAACACACACGTCACAAAGATTTTTCTCACAATTCTGCTGTCGAGATTTTATGTGAAGATGTTTCCTTTTCCACCATAGGCCTCAAAGTGCCCCAAATGTCCACTTGCAGATTCTACAAATAGAGTGTTTCAAAACTGTTCAATGAAAAGAAAGGTTTAACTCTGTGAGATGAATGCACACATCACAAGGAAATCTCTCAGATTACTTCTGTCTAGATTTTATGTGAAGATAATTCCTTTTCTAACATTGGCTGCAAAGTGCTCCAAATGTCAACTTGCAGATTCTACCGTAAGAGTGTTTCCGAACTGCTCAATCAAAAGAAAGTTTTCAACTCTGTGAGATGAACGCACACATAACAAAGTAGTTTCTCAGAATTATTCTGTCTAGTTTTTATGCGAAGACGTTTCCTTTTCTACCTTAGGCCTTAAAGCACTCCAAATGTCCACTTGCAGATTCTACAAAAGGAGTATTTCAAAACTGTTCCATAAAAAGAAAGGTTCAACTCTGGGTGATGAATGCACACATCGTAAAAAAGTTTCTCCGAATGCTTATATCTAGTTTGTATGTGAAGATATTTCCTTTTCCACCATAGGCCTCAAAGCACTCCAAATGTCCACTTGCAGATTCTACAAAAAGAGAGTTTCAAAACTACTCAAAGAAAGGGTTACCTCTGTGAGATGAATGCACACATCACAAAGAAGTTTCTCAGATTGCTTCTGTCTAGATTTTATGTGAAGTTATTTCCTTTTCTACCACAGGCAGCAAAACGCTCCAAATGTCCATGTGCAGATTCTACAATAAGAGTTTTTCCAAACTGCTCAATCAAAAGAAAGATTCAACTCTGTGAGATGAATGCGCACATCACAAAGAAGTTTCTCAGAATTCTTCTGTCTAGTTTTTATGTGAAGATATTTTATTTTCCACCATAGACCTTAAGGTGCTTGAAATGTCCACTTGCAGATTCCACAAAAGGAGTATTTCAAAACTGGTCTATCAAAAGAAAGGTTCATCCCTTGGAGGTGAATGCACACATCACAACAAAGTTTCTCAGATGGCTTCTGTCTAGATTTTATGTGAAGATATTTCCTTTTCTCCCAAAGGCTGCAAAGCGCTCCAAATTTCCACATGCAGATTCTACCAAAAGAGTGTTTTGAAACTATGCAATCAAAAGAAAAGTTCAACTCTGTGAGATGAATGCACACATCACAAAGAAGTTCCTCAGGATCTGTTTAGTTTTTATGTGAAGATATTTCCTTTTCTACCATAGGTTGCAAAGCACACCAAATGTCCACTTGCAGGTCCTAAAAAAAGAGTGTTTCCAAAATTCACAATCAAAAGAAAGGTTCAACTCCGTGAGATGAACGCACACATAGCAGAGAAGTTTCTCATAATTCTTCTCTCTAGTTTTTATGCGAAAATATTTCCTATTCTACCATAGGCCGCAAAGCACTACCAAAAGAGTGTTTCCAAACTGCTCAATCAAAAGAAAGCTTCAACTCTGTGAGTTAAATGCACACAT
Organism: Homo sapiens; assembly: GCF_000001405.40. Taxonomy (NCBI): domain Eukaryota; kingdom Metazoa; phylum Chordata; class Mammalia; order Primates; family Hominidae; genus Homo; species Homo sapiens. The sequence continues at coordinate 62,062,034 of NC_000007.14, read as the reverse complement.
CACAAAGTAGTTTCTGAGAATGTTTCTGTCTAGTTTTTATGTGATGATATTTCCTTTTCCACCATAGGCCTCAAAGCCCTCCAAATATCCACTTGCAGATTCTACAAAAAGAGTGTTTCAAAACTGTTCAATCAAAAGACAATTTCAACTCTGTGAGATGAATGCACACATCACAAAGAAGTTTCTCAGGATGTTTCTGTCTAGGTTTTATGTGAAGATATTTCCTTTCAGCTATAGGCCTCAAAGCACTCCAAATAGACATTTTCAGACACTACAAAATGAGTGTTTCCAAACTGCTCAATCAAAAGAAAGCTTCAACTCTGTGAGTTGAATGCACACATCACAAAGAAGTTTCTGAGAATGCTTCTGTCTAGTTTTTATGTGAAGATATTTCTTTTTCAGCTATAGGCCTCAAAGTGCTCCAAATATCCATTTGCAGATACTACAAAAAGAGTCTTTGCAAACTGCTCAATGAAAAGAAAGGTTCAACTCGGAGTTCAATGCACACATCACAAAGAAGTTTCTCAGAATGCTTCAGTCTAGTTTTTATGGGAAGATGTTTGCTTTCCACCACAGGCCTCTAAGCGCTCCAAATATCCATTTGCAGATTCTCCAAAAAGTGTGTTTCAAAACTGCTTAATCAAAAGAACGGTTTATCTCTGTGAGATGAATGCACACAGAAGTTTCTCAGAGTGCTTCTGTCTACTTTATATGTGAACATAATTCTTTTTTCAGCTATACGCCTCAAAGTGCTCCAAATATCCAATTGCAGATAATACAAAGCGAGTGTTTCCAAACTGCTCAATCAAAAGAAAGCTTCAACTCTGTGAGTTGAATGCACACATCACAAAGAAGTTTCTGAGAATGCTTCTGTCTAGTTTTTATGTTAGGATATATCCTTTTAAGCTATGGACATCAAAGTGCTCCAAATATACATTTGCAGATACTACAAAATGAGTGTTTTCAAACAGCTCAATCAAAAGAAAGTTCAACTCTGTGAGTTGAATGCACACATCACAAGGAAGTTTCTCAGAATACTTCTGTCTTGTTTTTATGTGGAGATATTTCCTTTTCCACATTGGCCTCAAAGCACTCCAATTATCCACTTGCAGATTCTACAAAAAGAGATTTTCAAAACTGCTCAATCAAAAGAAAGGTTCAACTCTTTGAAATGAACACACACATCACAAAGAAGTTTCTCAGAATGCTTCTGTCTAATTTTTATGTCAAGATATTTCCATTTCAGCTATAGGCCTCAAAGCGCTCCAAATATCCATTTGTGGATACTGTAAAAAGGGTTTTTCCAATCTGCTCAATCAAAAGAAAACTTCAACTCTGTGAGTTGAATGCACACATCACAATGAAGTTTCTGACAATGCTTCTGTCAAGTTTTTATGTGAAGATATTTCATTTTCCACCATAGGCCTCAAATCACTCCCAATATCCACATGCACATTCTCCAAAAAGAGTGTTTCAAAACTGTTCAATCAAAAAAAAGGTTAAAATCTGTGAGATGAATGCACACATACCAAAGAAGTTTCTCAGAATGCTTCTGTCTAGTTTTTATGTGAAGATATTTCCTGTGCCCCTATAGGCCTCAAAGCGCTGCAAATATCCATTTGCAGATACTATAAAAAGAGTGTTTCCAAACTGCTCAATCAAAAGTAAGGTTCAACTCCATGAGCTGAATGCACACATCACGAAGAAGTTTCTGAGAATGCTTCTGTCTACTTTTTAGGTGAAGATATTTCCTTTTCCAGCATAGGCCTCAAAGCGCTCCAAATATCCACTTACATATTCCACAAAAAGAGTGTTTCAAAACTGCTTAATTAAAAGAAAGGTTCAACAATGTGAGTTGAATGCACACATCACAAACCAGTTTGTCAGATTGCTTCTCTCTAGATATTATGTGAGGATATTTCCTTGTCTAACAGGCCGTAAGGACCTCCAAATTTGAACTTGCAGATTCTACCAAAAGAGTGTTTCCAAACTGCTCAAAGAAAGGTTAAACTCTTTGAGATGAATGCAAGCATCACAAAGAAGTTTCTCAGAATGCTTCTGTCTAGTTTTTATGTTAAGATATTTCCTTTTCCATCATAGGCCTCAAAGTGCTCAAAATATCCACTTGCAGATACTACAAAAAGAGAGTTTCAAAACTGCTCAATCAAAAGAAAGTTTTAACTTTGTGAGATGAATGCACACATCACAAAGAAGTTTCTCAGATTGCTTCTGTCTAGATTTTTTGTGAAGATCTTTCCTTTTCTACCACAGGCCGCAAAGCACTCCAAATGTCCACTTGCAGATACTACAAAAAGAGTGTTTCCAAACTGCTCAATCAAAAGAAAGGTTCAACTCTGTGAGATGAATGCACACATCACAAAGAGGTTTCTCAGAATGCTTCTGTCTACTTTTTATGTGAGGATATTGCCTTTTCAGCTATACTCCTCAAAGAGCTGTAAATACCCATTTGCAAATAGTATAAAAAGAGTGTTTCCAAACTGCTCAATCAAAAGAAAGGTTTAACTCTATGAGATGAATGCACACATCACAGTGAACTTTCTGAGAATGCTTCTGTGTAGTTTTTATGTGATGACATTTCCTTTTACAGCATAGGCCTCAAAGCACTCCAAATATCCACTTGCAGATTTTACAAAAAGATAGTTTCAAAACTGCTCAATCAAAAGAAAGGTTCAACCCTGTGAGATGAATGCACACATCTCAAACCAGTTTCTCAGATTGCTTCTGTCTAGATTTTATGTGAAGATGTTTCCTTCTCTACCATAGGTCACAAAGAGCTCCAATTTTCAACTTGCAGATTCTACCAAGAGTGTTTCCAAACTGCTCAATCAAATAAAGCTTCAACTCTCTGAGATGAAAGGAAGCATCACAAAGAAGTTTCTCAGAATTCTTCTGTCTAGTTTTAATGTGAAGATATTTACTTTTCCACCATAGGCCTCAAAGTGCTCCAAATGTCCACTTGCAGTTTCTACATAAAGAGAGTTTCAAAACTGCTCAATCAAAAGAAAGTTTTAACTTTGTGAGATGAATGCACACATAACACAGAAGTTTCTCAGACTGCTTCTGTCTAGATTTTATGTGAAGATATTTCTTTTTCTATCATAGGCTGCAAAGCACTCCAAATGTCCACTTGCAGATTCTACAAAAAGAGTGTTTCCAACCTACGCAATCAAAAGAAAGGTTCAACTCTGTGAGATGAATGCACACATCCCAAAGGAGTTTCTCAGAATGCTTCTGTCTACTTTTTATGTGAGGATATTGCCTTTTCAGCTATACTCCTCAAAGAGCTGTAAATACCCATTTGCAGATAGTATAAAAAGAGTGTTTCCAAACTGCTCAATCAAAAGAAAGGTTCAACTCTGTGAGTTGAACGCACACATCAAAAAGAAGTTTCTGAGAATGCTTCTGTCTAGTTTTTATGTTAAGATATTTCCTTTTCCACCATAGGCATCAAAGCACTCCAAATATCCACTTGCAAATTCTACAAAAAGAGTGTTGCAAAACTGCTCAATCAAAAGAGAGTTTCAACTCTGTGAGATGAACGCACATGTCACAAAGAAGTTTTTCCGAATTCTTCTCTCTAGTTTTTATGAGAAAATATTTCCTTTTCCACCCTAGGCCTCAAAGCGATCCAAATGCACACTTGCAGATTCTACAAAAACAGAGTTTCAAAAACGGCTCAATCAAAAGTAAGGTTTAACTCTGTAAGATGAATGCACACATCACAAAGCAGTTTCTCAGATTGCTTCTGTCTAGATTGTATGTGAAGATATTTCCTTCTCTACCATAGGCTGCAAATAGCTCCAAATTTGAAATTGCAGATTCTACCAAAAGAGTGTTTCCAAACTGCTGAATCGAAAGAAAGGTTCAACTATTTGAGATGAATGCAAGCATCACAGAGAAGTTTCTCAGAATTCTTCTGTCTAGTTTTTATGTGGAGATATTTCCTTTTCCACCATAGGCCTCAAAGTGCTCCAAATGTCCACTTGCAGAGTCTTCAAAAAGAGTGTTTCAAAACTACTCAATCAAAAGAAAGTTTTAACTTTGTGAGATGAATGCACACATCACAAAGAAGTTTCCCAGATTGCTTCTGTCTAGATTTTATGTGAAGATATTTTTTTTCTACCATGGGCCGCAAAGCACTCCAAATGTACACTTGCAGATTCTACAAAAAGAGTGTTTCCAAACTGCTCAATAAAAAGAGAGGTTCAACTCTGTGGGATGAATGCACACGTCACAAAGTGGTTTCTCAGAATTCTTCTGTCTAGTTTTCATGTGAAGCTATTTCCTTTTCCATCATAGGCCTCAAGGCAATCCAAATGTCCCCTGCAAACTCTACAAAAAGAGAGTTTCAAAACTTCTCAATCAAAAGAAACTTTTGATTTTGGGAGATGAATGCCCACATCACAAGAAGTTTCTCAGATTGCTTTTGTCTACATTTTATGTGAAGATATTTACTTTTCTACCATAGGCCCCAAAGCGTAAAATCATCCTCTTGCAGATATTACAAAAAGAGTTTTTCCAAACTTCTCAATCAAAAGAAAGGTTCAACTCTGGGAGACAAACACACACACCACAAAGAAGTTTCTCAGAATTCTTCTGTCTAGTTTTTATGTGAAGATATTTCCTTTTCCACCATAGTCCTCAAAGCCCTCCAAATGTCCACTTGCAAATTCTACAAAAAGAGAGTTTCAAAACTGCTCAAACAAAAGAAAGGTTTAAATAAGTGAGATGAATGAACACATCACAAAGTAGTTTCTCAGATTGTTTCTGTCTAGATTTTATGTGAAGATATTTCCTTTTATAACATAGGCCACAAAGCACTCCAAATGTCCACTTGCAGATTCTAATAAAAGAGTGTTTCCAAACTGCTCAATCAAAAGAAAGGTTCAATTCTGTGAGATGAATGCACACATCACAAAGAAGTTTCTCAGAATTCTTCTTCCTAGTTTTTATGTGAAGATATTAGCTTTTCCACCATAGGCCTCAAAGAGTTCCAAATGTTCTCTTTCAGATTCTACAAAAAGAGAGTTTCAAAACTGCTCAATCAAATAAAGTTTCAACTCTGTGAGATGAACGCTAACCTCACAAAGAAGATTCTCAGAATTCTTCTGTCTATTTTTCATGTGAAGATATTTCCTTTTCCAGCATAGGCCACAAAGTGCTCCAAATGTCCACTTACACATACTACAAAAAGAGAGTTTCAAAACTGCTCAATCAAAAGAAAGTTTTTACTCTGTGAGATGAACACACACATCACAAAGAAGTTTCTCAGAGTGCTTCTGTCTAGTTATTATATAAAGATATTTCGTTATCCACCATAGGCCTCAAAGCGCTCAAATGTCCACAGGCAGATTCTCCAAAAAGAGTGTTTCAAAACTGCTCAATCAAAAGAAAGGTTCATCTCTGTGAGATGAACGGACACATAACAAAGCAGTTTCTCAGAATTCTTCTGTCTAGTTTTTATGTGAAGTTATTTCCTTTTCCACCATAGGCCTCAAATTGCTCCAAATGTCCACTTGCAGATTCTACAAAGGAATAGTTTCAAAACTGCTCAATCAAAAGAAAGGTTTAACTCTGTGAGATGAATTCAGACAACACAAAGAAGTTTCTGAGAATCCTTCTGTCTATTTTTTATTAGAAGAAATTTTGTTTTCAGCTGTAGGCCTCAAAGGGCTCCTAATATCCTTTTCCAGGTACTGCAAAAAGAGTGGTTCCAAACTGCTCAATAAAAAGAAAGGTTCAAATCTGTGACAGGAATGTACACAGCACAAAGAAGTGTCTGAGAATGCTTCTGTCTAGTTTTTATGTGAAGATATTTCCTTTTCCACCAGACGCCTCAAAGCACTCCAAATATCCGCTTGTAAATTTTACAAAGAGAGTGTTTCAAAACTGCTCAATCAAAAGAAAGGTTCAACTCTCTGAGATGAATGCACACATCACAAAGAAGTTTCTGAGAATACTTCTGTCTAGTTTTTATGTGAAGATATTTCCTTCTCTGCTATAGACCTCAAAGCGCTGCAAATATCCATTTGCAGATACTACAGAAAGAGTGTTTCCAAACTGCTCAAAAAAAGAAAGGTTCAAATCTGTGAGGTGAATGTACATATCAAAAGAAGTTTCTGAGGATGTTTCTGTCTAGTTTACATGTGAAGATATTTCCTTTCAGATGTAGGCCTCTAAGCGCTGCAAATATTCACTTGCGAATTCTACAAAAAGAGTGTTTCAAAACTGCTCAATCAAAAGAAAGGTTCAACTCTCTGAGATGAATGCAGATATCACAAATAAGTTTCTGAGAATACTTCTGTCTAGTTTCTATGTGAAGATATTTCCTTTTCAGCTACAGGCCTCAAAGCCCTGCAAATATCCATTTGCAGATACTACAAAAAGAGTGTTTCCAAACTGCTCAATCAAAAGGAAGGCTCAATTCTGAGTTGAATGCACACATCCCTAAGAAGTTTCTCAGAATGCTTCTGTGTAGTTTTCATCTGAAGTTATTTCCTTTTCTACCACAGGCCCCAAAGCTCTCCAAATAACCAATTGGAGATTCTCCAAAAAGTTTGTTTCAAAACTGCTTAATCAAAAGAAAATTTTAATTCTGTGAGATGATTGCACACATCACAAAGAAGTTTCTCAGAATGCTTCTGTCTACTTTTTATGTGAAGATATTTCCATTTTATCTATTGGCCTCAAAGTGCTCCAAATATCCAATTGCAGATACTACAAAGCGAGTATTTCCAAACTGCTCAATTAAAAGAAAATTTCAACTCTGTGAGTTGAATGCACACATCACAAAGAAGTTTCTGAGAATACTTCCGTCTAGTCTTTATGTGAAGATATTTCCTTTTAAGCTATAGACGTCAAAGGGCTCCAAATATCCATTTGCAGATACTAGAAAATGAGTCTTCCCAAACAGCTCAATCAAAAGAAAGGTTCAACTCCATGAGTTGAATGCACACATCACAAAGAAGTTTCCAGAATGCTTCTGCCTAATTTTTATGTGAAGAGGTTTCCTTTGTCACTATTGGCCTCAAAGCGCTCCAAATATCCACTTGCAGATTCTACAAAAAAAGATTTTCAAAACTGCTCAATCAAAAGAAAGTTTCAACTCTGGGAGATGAATGCACACATCACAAAGAAGTTTCTCAGAATCCTTCTGTCTAATTTTTATGTGGAGATATTTCCATTTCAGCTATAGGCATCAAAGTGCTCCAAATATCCATTTGTGGATACTGCAAGAAGAGTGTTTCCAAACTGCTCAATCTTAAGAAATCTTCAACTATGTGAGTTGAATGCACACATCACACAGAAGTTTCTGACAATGCTTCTGTCAAGTTTTTATGTGAAGATATTTCATTTTCTACCATTGGCCACAAAGTGCTCCAAATATCCTCTTGCAGATTCTTCAAAAAGATTGTTTCAAAACTGCTCAATCAAAAGAAAGTTTCAACTCTCTGAGATGAATGCACACATCACAAAGAAGTTTTGGAGAATAATTCTGTCTAGTTTTTATTTGAAGATATTTCCTTTTCTGCTACAGGCCTCAAAGAGCTGCAAATATCCATTTGCAGATACTACAGAAAGAGTGTTTACAAACTGCTCAATCAAAAGAAAGGTTCAACTCTATGAGCTGAATGCACACATCACAAAGAAGTTTCTGAGAATGCTTCTGTCTAGTTATGTGAATATATTTCCGTTTCCACCATAGGCCTCACAGCGCTGCAAATGTCCACTTGCAGATTGTACAAAAAGAGAGTTTCAAAACTACCCAATCAAAATAAAGGTTTAACTCAGTGAGATGAATGCACGCATAACAAAGCAGTTTCTCAGATTGCTTCTGTCTAGATTTCATGTGAAGATATTTCCTTTTCTACCATAGGCTGCAAAGCGCTCCAAATGTCCACTTGCAGATTCTACAAAAAGTGTGTCTCCAAACTGCTCAATCAAAAGAGAGTTTCAACTCTGTGAGAAAAACTCACACATCACAAAGAAGTTTCTGAGAATGCTTCTGTCTAGTTTTTGTGTGAATATATTTCCGTTTCCACCGTAGGCCTCACAGCACTGCAAATGTCCACTTGCAGATTCTACAAAATCTATTTCAAAACTGGTCCATCAAAAGAAAGTTTCAAATCTGGGTGATGAATGCACACATCACAAAGAATTTTCTCAGAATGCTTCCATCTAATTTTTATGTGAAGATATTTCCTTTTCCACCATAGGCCTCAAAACGCCCAAAATGTCCACTTGCAGATTCTACAAAAAGAGAGTTTCAAAACTCCTCAGTCAAAAGAAAGTTTTAATTCCGTGAGATGAATGCACACATCACTAAGGAGTTTCTCGGATTGCTTCTGTCTAGATTTTATGTGAACATATTTCCAATTTAAACATAGACCAAGTAGAGCTCCAAATATCCACTTTCATATTATACAAAAAGAGTGTTTCCAAACCGCTAAATCAAAAGACATTTTCAACTCTATGGGATGAACACACACATCAAAAAGAAGGTTCTCAGCATGCTTCTACCTAGTTTTTATGTGAAGATATTTCCCTTTGTACAATCTTCCACAAAGCGCTCCAAATGTCCACATGTAGATTCTACAAGAAGAGTGTTTCCAAACTGCACAATCCAAGGAAATATTCACCTCTGTGAGATGAACGCACACATCAAGAAGTAGTTTCTCAGAATTCTTCTGTCTAGTTTTTGTGTGAAGTTATTCCTTATCCACCATACTCCTCAAAGCACTCCAAATGTCCAATTGCAGATTCTACAAAATGTGAGCTTCAATATTGCTCAATCAAAAGAAAGGTTTAACTCAATGAGAGGAATGCACACACCACAAAGAAATTTCTCAGATTGCTTCTGTCTAGATTTTATGTGAAGATAGTTCCTTTTCTACCACAGGCCGCGAAGCTCTCCAAATGTCAACTTGCTGATTCTACAAAAAGAGTGTTTCCAAACTTCTCAATCAAAAGGAATGTTGAACTCTGTGAGAGGAAAGCACACATCACAAAGAAATTTCTCAGAATTCTTCTGTCTAGTTTTTATGAGAAGATATTTCCTTTTCCACCACAGGCCTCAAAGCCCTCCAAATATCCACTTGCAGATTCTACAAAAAGAGAGTTTCAAAACTGCTCAATTAATAGAAAGGTTTAACTCTGTGAGATGATTGCACACATCACAAAGAAGTTTCTCAGATTGCTTCTGTCTAGATTTTATGTGAAGGTATTTCGTTTTCTACCATAAGCCACAAAGCACTCCAAATGTCTACTTGCATTTTCTTCAAAAAGAGTGTTTCCAAACAAAAGTTCAACTCGGTGAGATGAACGTACACCTCACAAAGAAGTTTCTCAGAATTCTTCTGTCTAATGTTTATGTGAAGATATTTCCTTTTCCACCATAGGCCTCAAATCAGTCAAAATGTCCACTTGCAGATTATACAAAAAGAGAATTTCAAAACTGCTCAATCTAAAGAAAGGTTTATCTCTGTGAGATGAATGCACACATCACAAAGAAGTTTCTCAGATTGCTTCTGTCTAGATTTTATGTGAAGATATTTCCTTTGCCGCCATAGGCCACAAAGAGCTCCAAATGTCCACTTGCAGATTCTACAAAAACAGTGCTTCCAAACTGTTCAATCAAAAGAAAGTTTCAACTCTGTGAGATGAATGCACACATAACAAAGTAGTTTCTCGAATTATTCTGTCTAGTTTTTATGCAAAGACGTTTCCTTTTCCACCTTAGGCCTTAAAGCACTCCAAATGTCCACTTGCATATTCTACAAAAAGAGAGTTCAAAACTGCTCAATCAAGAGAAAGGTTTAACTCTGTGAGATGAATGTACACATCACAAAGAAGTTTCTCAGATTCCTTCTTACTAGATTTTAGTTGAAGATTTTGCCTTTTCTACCATAGGCTCCAGAGCGCTCCAAATGTCCACTAGCAGATTCTACAAAAAGAGTGTTTCCAAACTGCTCAATCAAAAGAGAGGTTCAACTCGGTGAGATGAACGCACACATCACAAAGAAGTTTCTCAGAATGCTTCCGTCTAGTATGTATGTGAAGATATTACCTTTTCTACCATTGGCAGCAAAGTGTGCCAAATGTCCCCTTGCAGATACTGCAAAAAGAGTGTTTCCAAACTATTCAAATAAAAGAGAGTTTCAACTATGTGAGATGAATGCACACATCAAAAAGAAGTTTCTCCGAATGCTTCTGTGTAGTTTTTATGTGAAGATATTTGCTTTTCCACAGTAGGCCTCAAAGCTCTCCAAATTTCCACTTGCAGATTCTCCAAAAAGAGAGATTAAAAACTGCTCATTCAAAGCATGGGTTCAACACTGTGAGTTGAATGCACACATAACAAAGAAGTTTCTCAGAATCCTTCTGTGTAGTTTTTATGTGAAGATATTTCCTTTTCCAAAAGAGGACTCAAAGCCCTCCAAACATCCACTTCCAGATTCTTCAAAAAGTGTTTCAAAACTGCTCAATCAAAAGAAAGGATCAACTCTGTGAGATGAGTGCCCGTATCACAAACAACTTTCTCAGAATGCTTCTGTGTAGTTTTATGTGAAGATATTTCCTTTTCCACAAACGGCTTCAAAGCCCTCCAAATATACACTTGCAGATTCTATAAAAAGAGTGTTTCCAAACTGCTCAATCATAAGAGGTTCTATCCAGTGTGATGAATGCACACATCACAAAGAAGTTTCTCAGAATGCTTTTCTGTAGTTTTTATTTGAAGATATTTCCTTTTCCTCCATAGGCCACAAAGAGCTCCAAATATCCACTTGCAGATACTACAAAAAGAGAGATTCAAAACAGCCCAATCAAAAGATAGGTTCCACTATCTGAGTTGAATGCACACATCACAAAGAAGCTTCTCAGAATTCTTCTGTGTGGTTTTTGTGTGAAGATATTTCATTTTCCACAGTAGGCCTCAAAGCTCTACTAATATCCACTTGCAGATTCTGCCAAAAGGGAGATTCAAAACTGCTCAATCAAAAGATAGGTTCGACTCTGTGAGTTGAATGCACCTCTCACATCGAAGTTTCTCAGAATGCTTCTGTGTAGTTTTCATGTGAATATATTTGCTTTTCCACAGTAGGCCTCAAAGCGCTCCAAATATCCACTTGCAGATTTTACAGAAACAGTGTTTCAAAACTGTTCAATCAAAAGAAAAGATCAACTCTGTGAGATAATTGCACACATCACAAAGAAGTTTCTCAGAATGCTTCCATGTAGTTTTTATGTGAAGATATTTCCTTTTCCACAATAGGCCTCAAGGCACTCCAAACATCCACTTGCAGATTCTACAAAAAGAGTGTTACAAAACTGCTCAATCATAAGATACGTTCAACGCTGTGAGATGAATGCAAATATCACAAAGAAGTTTCTCAGAATGCTTCTGTTTAGTTTTTATTTGAAGATATTTCTTTTTCCACCATAGGCCGCATAGGGCTCAAAATATCCACTTGCAGATTCTTCAAAAAGAGAGATTCAAAACTGCTCAATCAAAAGATAGGTTGGACTCTGTGAGTTGAATGCACACATCACAGAGAAGTTCCTCAGAATGCTTCTGTGTAGTTTTTATGTGAAGATATTTGCTTTTCCACAGTAGGCCTCAAAGCGCTCCAAATGTCCACTTTCAGATTGTCCAAAAAGAGAGACTCCAAACTGCTCAACCAAAACATACCTTCAGTTCTGTGAGTTTAATGCACACATAACAAAGAAGTATCTCAGAATATTTCTGTGTAGTTTTTAGGTGATGATATTTCTTTTCCAAAATAGGCCTCAAAGTCCTCCAAATATCCACTTCTGGGTTCTATCAATAGAGTGCTACATATGTAACTAACATGCACATTGTGCACATGTACCCTAAAACTTAAAGTATAATAATAAAAAAATAAAAAAAGAATAAAAAAATAATAAAAAATGAAATAAAAAAGGAAAAAGAGTGCTTCAAGCCTGCTCAATCAAAAGAAAGGATCAACTATGTGAGGTGAATGCACACATCAAAAAGAAGTTTCTCTGAATTCTTCTGAGTAGTTTTTATGTGAAGATATTTCCTTTTCCACATTAGGACTCAAAGCACTCCAAATAACCACTTGCAGATTCTACAAAAAGAATGTTTCCAGTCTGCTCAATCATAAGAAATGTTCAACTCTGTGAGATGAATGTGCACATCATGAAGTAGTTTCTCAAAATGCTTCTGTGTATTATTTATGTGAAGATATTTTCTTTTCCACAGTAGGCCTCAAAGTGCTCCAAATATCCACCTGTAGATTCTTCAAAAACAGTGTTTCAAAAGTGCTCAATAAAAAAAAGGTTCAACTCTGTGAGATGAATGCACACATCACAAAGTAGTTTCTCAGCATGTTTCTGTATAGTTTTTATGTGAAGATATTACCTTTTCCACAATAGACCTCAAGGCACTCCAAATATCCACGTGCAGATTCTACAAAAAAAGTGTTTCAAAACTACTCAATCATAAGATAGGTTCAACGCTGTGAGTTGAATGCACATATCCCAAAGAAGTTTCTCAGAATGCTTCTGTCTAGTTTTTATGTGAAGACATTTCCTTTTCAGCTATAGGCCTCAAAGTGCTCCAAATATCCACTTGCAGAATCTACAGCAAGAGAGATTCAAACTGCTCAATCAAAGCATAGGTTCAATTCTGTGAGTTGAATGCACACATCATGAAGAAATTTCTGAGAATGCTTCTGTGTAGGTTTTATTTGAAGATATTCCCTTTTCCACCACAGGGAGCAAAGAGCTCCAAATATCCACTTGCAGATTCTACAAAAAGAGAGATACTAAACTGCTCAATCAAAAGATAGGTTCAACCCTGAAAGTTGAATATACAAATCATAAAGAAGTTTCTCAGAATGCTTCTGTGTAGTTTTTATGTAAAGATAATTCCTTCTCCACAATAGGCCTCAAAGGACTCCAAATATCCACTTGAAGATTCAACAAAAAGTATTTCAAAACTGTTCAATCAAAAGAAATGTTCAATTCCGTGAGTTGAATACACACCACACAAAATTTTTTCAGAATTCTTCTGTGTAGTTTTTATGTGAAGATATTTCCTTTTCCACAATAGGTGTAAAAGCTCTCCTAACATCCACTTGCAGATTCTGCAAAAAGAGAGATTCCAAACTGCTCAATCAGAAGATAGGTTCAACTCTGTGAGTTGAATGCACACATCAAAAAGAAGTTTCTCAGAATGCTTCTGTGTAGTTTTTATGTGAACATATTTTGCACAGTAGGCCTCACAGCACTTTAAATATCCACTTGCAGATTCTACAAAAAGAGAGATTCAAAACTGTACAATAAAAAGATAGGTTCAACTCTGTGAGTTGACTGCACACATAACAAAGAAGTTTCTCAGAATGCTTCTGAGTAGTTTTTAATTGAAGGTATTTTCTTTTCCACAATAGACCTCAAATGGCTCCAATTATCCACTTGCAGATTGTACAAAAAAAGTGTTTCAAAACTGTTCAATCAAAAGAAAGATTCAACTCTGTGAATTGAATGCACACATGACAAAGAAGTTTCTCAGAATGTTTCTGTGTAGTTTTTATGTGAAGATATTTCCTTTTCCACAAAAGGCCTCAAAAGGCTCCAAATATCCACTTGCAGATTGTACGAAAAGTGTTTCAAAACTGCTCATCAAAAGAAAGGTTCAACTCTGTGAGATGAATGCACACATCACAACGAAGTTTCTCAGAATGCTTCTGTGTAGTATTTATCTGAAGTTATTGGCTTTTCCACGGTAGGCCTCAAAGCGCTCCAAATATCCACATGTAGATTCTAGAAAAAGAGTGTTTTGAAACTGCTCAACCGTAAGATAGGTTCAACCCTGTGAGATGAATGCATACATCACAAAGGAGTTTCTCAGAATGTTTCTGTGTAGTTTTTATTTGAAAATATTTCCTTTTCGACCACAAGCCACAAAGGGCTCCAAATATCCACTTGCACATTCTGCAAAAAGAGAGATTGAAAACTGCTCAATCAAAAGATAGGTTCACCTCTGTGAGTTGAATGCACATATCTCAAAGAAGTTTCTCAGAATGCTTCCGTGTAGTTTTTATTTGAAGATATTTCCATTTCCACCATAGGGTGCAATGAGCTCCAAATAACCACTAGCAGATTCTACAAAAAGAGAGATTCAAAACTGCTCAATCAAAAGATAGGTTCAACTCTGTGAGGTGAATGCACACATCATGAAGAAGTTTCTGAGAATGCTTCTGTGTAGTTTTTATTTGAAGATATTTCCTTTTCCACTACAGGGCACAAACGGCTCCAAATACCTACTTGCAGATTCTACAAACAGAGAGATTCTAAACTGCTCAATCAAAAGATAGGTTCAACTCTGTGAGTTGAATGCACACATCACAAAGAAGTTTCTCAGCATGCTTCTGAGTAGTTTTTATGTGAAGATATTTCCTTTTCCACAATAGGCCTCAAAGGGCTCCAATTATCCACTTGCAGATTGTACAAAAAGAGTGTTTCAAAACTGTTCAATCAAAAGAAAGATTCAACTCTGTGAATTGAATGCACACATCAAAAAGAAGTTTCTCAGAATGCTTCTGTGTAGTTTTTATATGAAGATATTTCCTTTTCCACAATAGGCCTCAAGGCACGCCAAATATCCACCTGCAGATTCTACAAAAAGAGTGTCAAAACTGCTCAATCGTAAGATAGGTTTGACGCTGTGAGTTCAATGCACACATCATGGAGAAGTTTCTCAGAATGCATCTGTGTAGTTTTAATTGGAAGATATTTCCTTTCCACCATAGGCCACAAAGGGCTCCAAATATCCACTTGCAGATTCTACAAAAAGAGAGATTCAAAACTGCTCAATCACGAGAGGCTGGACACTGTGAGTTGAATGCACACATCACAAAGAAGTTTCTCAGAATGCTTCTGAGTACTTTTTATGTGAAGATATTTCCTTTTCCACAATAGGCATCAAAGTGCTCCAAATGTCCACTTGGAGATTCTCTAAAAAGAGAGATTCAAAACTGCTCAATCAAAGTATAGATTCAACTCTGTGAGTTGAATGCACACATCAAAAAGAAGTTCCTCAGAATGCTTCTTTGTAGTTTTTATGTGAAAATATTTGCTTTTCCACAGTAAGCCTCAAAGAGCTCTAAATGCCCACTTGCAGATTCTCCAAAAAGAGAGATTCAAAACTGCTGAATCAAAGCATAGGTTCAACTCTGTGAGTTGAATGCACACATCATGAAGAAGTTTCTGATAATTCTTCTGTGTAGTTTTTATTTGAAGATATTTCCTTTTCCACCATAGACCACAAAGGGCTCCTAATATGCACTTGCAGATTCTGCAAAGAGACAGATTCAAAACTGCCTAATCAAAATATAGTTTCAACTCTGTGAGATGAACGCACACATCCCCAAGAAGTTTCACACAATGCTACTGTGTAGTTTTTATTTGAAGATATTTGCTTTTCCACAGTAGCCATCAAAGGGCTCCAAATATCCACCTGCAGATTCTGCAAAAAGAGAGATTCAAAACTGCTCAATCAAAAGATAGGTTCAACTCTGTAAGTTCTATGCATACATCACAAAGAAGTTTCTCTGAATGCTTCTGTGTAGTTTTTATTTGAAAATATTTGCTTTTCCACAGTAGGCCTCAAAGGGCTCCAAATAACCAGATGCAGATTCTACAAAAAGAGAGATTCAAAACTGCTCATTGAAAATATATGTTCAACTCTGTGAGTTGAATGCATACATCACAAAGGAGTTTCTCTCAATGCTTCTGTGTAGTTTTTATTTGAAGATAATTTCTTTTCCACCACAGGGTGCAAAGGGCTCCAAATATCCACTTGCAGAATCTACACAAAGAGAGATGGAATACTGCTAACTGACAAGATAAGTTCAACTCTATGAATTGAATGCACACCTCTCAAAGAAGTTTCTCAAAGTGCTTCTGTGTAGTTTTTATGTGAAGATATTTCCTTTTCCACAAGAGGCATAAAAGCTCTCCAAACATCCAATTGCAGATTCTGCAAAAAGAGAGATTCAAATCTGCTCTATCAAAAGATAGGTCCAACTCTGTGAGTTGAATCCACACATCACAAAGACGTTTCTGAGAACGCTGTGTAGTTTTTCTGTGAACACATTTGATTTTACCCAGTAGGCCTCACAGCGCTACAAATATCCACTTGCAGATTCTAGAAAAAGAGATTCTAAACTGCTCAATCAAAAGATAGGTTCAACTCTGTGAGGTGAATGCACACATCACAAAGAAGTTTCTCAGAATGCTTCTCAGTAGTTTTTATTTGAAGATATTTCCTTTTACACCAAAGGCGGCAAAGGGCTCCAAATATCCACTTGCAGATTCTGCAAAAAGAGTGTTTCAAAACTGCTCAATCATAAGATAGGTTCAACCCTGTGAGATGAAGGCACACATCACCAAGAAGCTTCTCAGAATGTTTCTATGTAGTTTTTATTTGAAGATATTTCCTTTTCCACCAATGGGCGCAAAGGGCTCCAAATATCAACTTGCAGATTCTAAAAATGATGAGTTTCAAAACTGCTCAATGAGAAGATAACTTCAGATCTGTGAGTTGAATGCACACCTCATGAAGACGTTTCTCAGAATGCTTCTCTGTAGTTTTCATGTGAAGATATTTACTTTTCCACTCTAGGCCTCAAAGCTCTCCCAACATCCATTTGCAGATTCTGCAAAAAGAGAGATTCCAAACTGCTTAAACGAAACATAGGTTCAACTCTATGAGTTAAATGCACACATCACAACGAAGTTTCACAGAATGATTCTTTGTAGGTTTTATGTGAACGTATTTGGTTTTCCACAGTAGGCCTCACATCACTCCAAATATCCACTTGCAGTTTCCACAAGAGAGATTCAAAACTGCTCAATCAAAAGATAGGTTCAACAGTGTGTGTTGAATGCAGACATCACGAAGAAGTTTCTGAGAATGCTTCTGTGTAGTTTTTATTTGAAGATATTTCCTTTTCCACTACAGGGTGCAAAGGGTTCCAAATATCCAATTGCAGATACTACAAAAACAGAGATTCAAAAGTGCTCTTTTAGAAGCTAAATTCAACTCGGTGAGTTGAATGCACAGCTCACAAAGAAGCTTCTCAGAATGCTTCTCTGTGGTTTTCATGTAGAGATATTTCCATTTCCACAATAGGCCTCATAGCTCTCCAAACATCCACTTGCAGATTCTGCAAAAAGAGAGATTAAAAACTGATCTCTCAAAAGACAGTTTCAACTCTGTGAGTTGAAAGCACACACAACCAAGAAGTTTCTGAGAATGCTTCTGGGTAGTTTTTATTTGAAGATATTTCTTTTTTCACCAGAGGTTGCAAAGGGGTAAAAATACCAAATGCAGATTCTACACAAAAAGAGATTCTAAACTGCTTAATCAAAAGATAGGTACAAATCAGTGAGTTGAATGCACACATCACAAAGAAGTTTCTCAGAATGTTTCTGAGTAGTTTTTATGTGAAGATATTTCCCTTCCACAATAGGACTCAAAGGGCTCCAAATATACACTTGCACAATCTACAAAAAAAGAGTTTTTCACTGCTCAATCAAAAGATAGGTTTAACTCTGTGAGTTGAATGCACACATCACAAGAAGTTTCTCAGAATGCCTCTGTGTAGCTTTTATGTGAAGATATTTCCTTTTCCACAACAGGCCTCAAAAGGCTCCAAATATCCACTTGCAGATTCTTCAAAAAGAGTGTTTCAAAACTGCTCAATCAAAAGAAAGGTTCAACTCTGTGAGACGAATACGCGCATCACAAAGAAGTTTCCAAGAATGCTTCTGTGTAGTTTTTACCTGAATATATTTGCTTTTCCACGGTTGGCCTCAAAGCGCTCCAAATACCTTCTTGCAGATTCTACAGGAAGTAAGATTCAAAACTGCTCAATGAGAAGATAAGTTCATCTCTGTGAGTTGAACGCACACCTCTCTAAGAAGTTTCTCAGAATGCTTCTCAGATATTCCCTTTTCCACAATAGGCCTCAAAGCTCTCCGAACATCCACTTGCAGAATCTGTAAAAGGAGAGATTTAAAACTGCTCATTCAAAAGATAGGTTCCACTCTGTGAGTTGATTGGACATATCACAATGAAGTTTCTCAGAATGCTTCTGTGTAGTTTTTATGTGAAAATATTTGCTGTCCCACAGCAGGCCTCAAAAGGCACCAAATAGCCACCTGCAGATTCTGCAAAAAAAGACATTCAAGACTGCTCAATCAAGAGTTAGGTTCAACTCCGTGAGGTGAATGCATACATCATAAAGGAGTTTCTCTGAATGCTTCTGTGTAGTTTTTATTTGAAGATATTTCCTTTTCCACCATAGGGGGTAAAGGGCAACAAATATCCACCTGCAGATACTACAAAAAGTGTATTTCAAATGGGCTCAATCAAAAGAAAGGTTCACGTCTGTGATATGAATGCACACATCAAAAAGAAGATTCTCAGAATGCTTCTGTGTAGTTTTCGTATGAAGCTATTTGATTATACACAGTAGGCGTCATAGCTCTCCACATATCCACTGTCAGATTGTACAAAAAGAGAGATTCAAAACTGCTCCATCAAAATATATGTTCAACTCTGTGAGTTGAATGCACATATCATGAAGAAATTTCTGAGAATGATTATGTGTACTTTTTACGTGAAGATATTTCCTTTTCAACCCTAGGATGCAAAGAGCTCCAAATATCCACTTGCAGATTCTACAAAAAGAGAGATTCTGAACTGCTCCATCAAAAGATATGTTTAACTCTGTGAGTTGAATACACACATCACAGAGAAGCTTCTCAGAATGATTCTGACTAGTTTTTTTTTTTCTTTTTTCTTTTTATACTTTAAGTTTTAGGGTACATTTGCACATTGTGCAGGTTAGATACATATGTATACATGTGCCATGCTGATGCGCTGCACCCACCAACTCGTCATCTAGCATTAGATATATCTCCCAATGCTATCCCTCCCCCCTCCCCCCACCCCACAACAGTCCCCAGAGTGTGAAGTTCCCCTTCCTGTGTCCATGTGATTTCATTGTTCAATTCCCAACTATGAGAGAGAATATGCGGTGTTTGGTTTTTTGTTCTTGCAATAGTTTACTGAGAATGATGATTTCCAATTTCATCCATGTCCCTACAAAGGACATGAACTCATCATTTTTTATGGCTGCATAGTATTCCATGGTGTATATGTGCCACATTTTCTTAATCCAATCTATCATTGTTGGACATTTGGGTTGGTTCCAAGTCTTTGCTATTGTGAATAATGCTGCAATAAACATACGTGTGCATATGTCTTTATAGCAGCATGATTTATAGTCCTTTGGGTATATACCCAGTAATAGGATGGCTGGGTCAAATGGTACTTCCAGTTCTAGATCCCTGAGGAATCGCCACACTGACTTCCACAATGGTTGAAGTAGTTTACAGTCCCACCAACAGTGTAAAAGTGTTCCTATTTCTCCACATCCTCTCCAGCACCTGTTGTTTCCTGACTTTTTAACGATTGCCATTCTATCTGGTGTGAGATGGTATCTGATTGTGGTTTTGATTTGCATTTCTCTGATGGCCAGCGGTGATGAGCATTTTTTCATGTGTTTTTGGCTGCATAAATGTCTTCTTTTGAAAAGTGTCTGTTCACGTCCTTTGCCCACTTTTTGATGGGGTTGTTTATTTTTTTCTTGTAAATTTGTTTGAGTTCATTGTAAATTCTGGATATTAGCCCTTTGTCAGATGAGTAGGTTGCGAAAATTTTCTCCCATTTTGTAGGTTGCATGTTCACTCTGATGATAGTGTCTTTGGCTGTGCACAAGCTCTTCAGTTTAATTAGATCCCATTTGTCAATTTTGTCTTTTGTTGCCATTGCTTTTGGTGTTTTAGACATGAAGTCCTTGCCCATGCCTGTGTCCTGAATGGTAATGTCAAGGTTTTCTTCTAGGGTTTTTATGGTTTTAGGTCTAGCGTTTAAGTCTTTAATCCATCTTGAATTGATTTTTGTATAAGGTGTAAGGAAGGGATCCAGTTTCAGCTTTCAAAAAAAGAGAATTTTAGACCAATAACCTTGATGAACATTGATGCAAAAATCCTCAATAAAATACTGGCAAAAAGAATCCAGCAGCACATCAAAAAGCTTATCCACCATGATCAAGTGGGCTTCATCCCTGGGATGCAAGGCTGGTTCAATATATGCAAATCAATAAATGTAATCCAGCATATAAACAGAACCAAAGAAAAAAACCACATGATTATCTCAATAGATGCAGAAAAGCCCTTTGACAAAATTCAACAACCCTTCATGTTAAAAACTCTCAATAAATTAGGTATTGATGGGATGTATTTCAAAATAATAAGAGTTATCTATGACAAACCCACCGCCAATATCGTACTGAATGGGCAAAAACGGGAAGCATTCCCTTTGAAACTGGCACAAGACAGGGATGCCCTCTCTCACCTCTCCTATTCAACATAGTGTTCTGGCCAGGGCAATTAGTCAGGAGAAGGAAATAAAGGGTATTCCATTAGGAAAAGAGGAAGTCAAATTGTCCCTGTTTGCAGACAACATGATTGTATATCTAGAAAACCCCATTGTCTCAGTCCAAAATCTCCTTAAGCCGATAAGCAACTTCAGCAAAGTCTCAGGATACAAAATCAATGTACAAAAATCACAAGCATTCTTATACACCAACAACAGACAAACAGAGAGCCAAATCATGAGTGAACTCCCATTCACAATTGCTTCAAAGAGAATAAAATACCTAGGAATCCAACTTACAAGGGATGTGAAGGACCTCTTCAAGGAGAACTACAAACCACTACTCAAGGAAATAAAAGAGGATACAAACAAATGGAAGAACATTCCATGCTCATGGGTAGGAAGAATCAATATCGTGAAAATGGCCATACTGCCCAAGGTAATTTGCAGATTCAGTGCCATCCCCATCAAGCTACCAATGCCTTTCTTCACAGAATTGGAAAAAACTACTTTAAAGTTCATATGGAACCAAAAAAGAGCCCGCATCACCAAGTCAATCCTAAGCCAAAAGAACAAAGCTGGAGGCATCACACTACCTGACTTCAAACTATACTACAAGGCTCCAGTAACCAAAACAGCATGGTACTGGTACCAAAACAGAGATATAGATCAATGGAACAGAACAGAGCCCTCAGAAATAACGCCGCATATCTACTAGTATCTGATCTTTGACAAACCTGAGAAAAACAAGCAATGGGGAAAGGATTCCCTCTTTAATAAATGGTGCTGGGAAAACTGGCTAGCCATATGTAGAAAGCTGTCTAGTTTTTATGTGAAGATAATCCCGTTTCCAAGGAAGGCTTCAAAGCACTCTAAATATGCGCCTCCAGATTCTACAAAAAGACTGTTTCAAAACTGCTCTATCAAAAAGATGGTTCAACTCTGTGAGTTGAATGCACACATCACAAATAATTTTCTGAGAATGGCTCTGTCTAGTTTTTATGTGAAGATATTTGCGTTTCCAACGAAGACTTCAAAGCGCTCCAAAGATGTAAATGCAGATTCTACAAAAAGAGTGTTTCAAAACTTCTCTGTCTGAAGGAAGGTTCAGTTCTGTGAGTTGAATGCACACATCACAAAGGACTTTCTGACAATGCTTCCATCTAGTTTTTAGGTGAAGATATTCCTATTTCAAATGAAGGCTTCCATTCGGTACAAATATCTACATGCACATTCTACAAAAAGAGTGTTTCCAAACTGCTCTATCAAAAGGAAGGTTCAACTGTGTGAGTTGAATGCACACATCACAAAGTGGTTTCTGAGAATGCTTCTTTCTAGTATTTATATGAAGCTATTCCCGTTTCCAACGAAGGATTCAAAGAGCTCCAAATATCCTCCTGCAGACTTAATAAAAAAGGGCTTCCAAACTGCTCTATCAAAAGTAAAGTTCAACTATGTGAGTTGAATGAACACAACACAAAGAAGTTTCTGAGAATGCTTCCATCTAGTTTTTATGTGAAGATATTTCCTTTTCCACCATAGCCTTCAAAGTGCTCCAAATGTCCACTTGCAGATTCGACAAAAAGAGTGTTTCCAGACTGCTCTATCAAAAGAAAGGTTCAACTATGGGAGTAGAATGCACACATCACAAAGTCGCTTCTGAGAATGCTTCTGTCTAGTTTTTATCTGAAGATATTTCCTTTTCTACCACAGGCCTCAATGCACTCAAAATACCCACTTTTAGATTCTACAAACAGAGTGTTTCAAAACTGTTCTATCAAAAGGAACGTTCAAATCTGTGAGTTGAATGCAAGCATCACAAAGAAGTTTCTGAGAATGCTTCTGTCTAGTTTTTATGTGAAGATATTCCCATTTCCAATGAAGGCTTCAAAGAGCTCAAAATATCCTATTGCAGATTGTACAAAAAGAGTGTTTCAAAACTGCTCTATCAAAAGGAAGGTTCAATTCTGTAAGTTGAATGCACACATCACAAATAAGTTTGTGAGAATGCTTCTGTCTAGTTTTTATGTGAAGATATTCCCGTTTCCAACAAAGGCTTCAAAGCGCTCCAAATATCCACCTGCTGATGCTACAAAAAGAGTGTTTCAAAACTGTTCTATAAAAAGAAAAGTTCAGCTCTGTGGGTTCAATGCACACAACAGAAAGAAGTTTCTGAGAATGCTTCCATCTAGTTTTTAAGTGAAGATATTCCAGTTTTCAATGAAAGCTTCAAAGTGCTCCAAATATCCACTTGCAGATTCTACAAAAAGAGTGTTTCAAAACTGCTCTATCGAAAGTAAAGTTCTACTTTGTGAGTTGAATGCACACATCAAAATGAATTTTATGAGAATACTTCTGTCTACTTTTTATGTGAAGATATTTCCTTTTTGACAATAGCTGTCAAAGCCCTCCAAATGCCCACTTGAAGATTCTTCACAAAGACTGTTTCAAATCTGCTCTATCAGAAGAAAGTTTCAACTGTGAGAGTAGAATGGACACATCACAAAGTAGTTTCTGTGAATGCTTCTGTCTAGTTTTTGTATGAAGATTCAATTCTGTGAGTTGAATGCACACATCACAAAGAAGTTTCTGAGAATGCTTATGTCTAGTTTTAATGTGAAGATATTTCCTTTTCCACTGCAAGCCTAAAAGAGCTCCAAATGTCCAACTGCAGATTCTATAAAAAGAGTGTTTCAAAACTGCACTATCAAAAGAAAGGTTCAGTTCTGTAAGTTGAAAGCACACATTGCAAAGAAATTTCTGAGAATGTTTCTGTGTAATTTTTATGTGAAGATATTCCCATTTCCAACGAAGGTTTCAAAGCGCTCCAAATATACACCTGCAGATTCTACAAAAAGAGTGTTTCAAAACTGCTCTATCAAAAGGAAACTTCAACTCTTTGAGTTGAATGCACTCATCACAAAGAAGTTTCTCAGAATGCTTCTGCCTAGTTTTAATATGAAGGTATATCCTTTTCCACGGAAGGCCCCAAAGAGCTCCAAATGTTCACCTGCAGATTCTACAAAAAGAGTGTTTCAAAACTGCTCTATCAAAAAGAAGGTTGAAATCTGTGAGTTGAATGCACACATCACAAAGAAGTTTCTGAGAATGTTTCTGTCTAGTTTTTATGTGAAGATATTCATGTTTCCAACGGAGGCTTCAAAGTGCTCCAAATGTCCACATGCAGATTCTACAAAAAGAGTGTTTCTAAACTGCTCTATTAAAAGAAAGGTTCAACTCTGGGAGTAGAATACAGTCATCACAAAGTGGTTTCTGAGAATGCTTCAGTGTAGATTTTATATGAAGATTTTTCTTGTTCTACCGTAGGTCTCAAAGCAGTCCAAATTTCCACTTGCAGATTCTACAAAAAGAGTGTTTCAAAACTCCTCCATCTAAGGGAAGGTTCAGCTCTGTGAGTTGAATGCACACATCACAAAGAAGTTTCTGAGAATGTTTCTGTCTAGTTTTTATATGAAGATATGCCCATTTCCAACGAAGGCTTCAATTCGCTCCAAATATCCATATGCACATTCTACAAAAGAGTGTTTCAAAACTGCTCTATCAAAAGGAACGTTAAACATTGTGAGTTGAATGCACACATCACAAAGTAGGTTCTCAGAATGCTTCTCTCTAGTTTTTATGTGAAGATATTCCCATTTTCAATGAAGGCTTCAATTCGCTCCAAATATCCACTTGCAGATTCTACAAAATAAGTATTTCAAAACTGCTCTATCAAAACGAAGGTTCAACGAAGTTGAAAGCATACATCACAAACTGGTTTCTGAGAATGCTTCTTTCTAGTTTTTATGTGAAGATATTCCCGTTTCCAATGAAGGATTCAAAGAGCCCCAAATATCCACCTGCAGATAATACAAAAAAAGTTTTTCAAAACTGCTCAATCAAAAGGAAGTTTCAGCTCTGTAAGTTCAATGCTCGCATCAAAAAGAAGTTTCTGAGAATGTTTCTGTCTAGTTTTTATGTGAAGATATTCCTGTTTCTAATGAAAGCTTCAAAGCGCTCCAAATGTCCACTTGCAGACTCTACAAAAAGACTGTTTCAAAACTTCTCTATAAAAGGAAGGTTCTACTTTGGGGGTTGAATGCACACATCAAAATGAAGTTTCTGAGAGCACTTCTGTCTAGTTTTTATGTGAAGATATTTCCTTATCCACAATAGTCCCCAAAGCCCTCAAAATGCCCACTTGAAGATTCCTCAAAAAGACTGTTTGAAAACTGCAGTATCAGAAGAAAATTTCAACTATGTGAGTAGAAAGCACACAGCACAACGAAGTTTCTGAGAATGTTTCCTTCTAGCTTTTATGTGAAGATATTTCCTTTTCCTCCATAGGCCTCAAAGCACACTATATATCCACTTACAGATTCTACAAAAAGAGTGTTTCAACACTGTTCTATCAAAAGAAGGGTTCAACTCTCTGAGTTGAACGTACACATCACAAAGAAGTTTCTGAGAATGCTTCTGCTAATTTTTATGTGAAGATATTCCCGTTTCAACCATAGGCCTCAAAGCCCTCCAAATGTCCACTTGCAGGTTCTACAAAAAGACTGTTTCAAAACTGCTCTATCAAAAGGAAGATTCAACTGTGTGAGCTGAATGTACACATCACAAAGAAGTTTCTGAGAATGCTTCTGTCTAGTTTTTATGTGAAGATATTCCCGTTTCCACCAAAGGCCTCAAAGCGCTCAATATATCGACTTGAAGATTTTACAAGAAGAGTTTTTCAAAACTGCTCCATCAAAAGGAAGCTTCAACTCTGTGTGTTGAATGCATAAATCACAAAGAAGTTACTGTGAATTCTTCTCTCTAGTTTTCAGGTGATGCTATTCCCGTTTCCAACGACGGCCTCAAAGCGGTCCAAATATCAACTTGCAGATGCTACAAAAAGAATGGTTCAAAACTACTCTATTAAAGAAAAGGTTCAGCACCGTGAGTTGAATGTTCACATCACAATGAAGTTTCTGAGAATGGTTCTGTCTAATTTTATGTGAAGATATTGCCGTTTCCAATGAAAGTCTCAAAGCGGCCCAAATATCCACTTACAGATGCTACAAAGAGTGTTTCAATACAGCTCTATGAAAATGTGTGTACAAATGTGTCAGTTGAATGCACACATCGCAAAGTAATTTCTGATAATGCTTCTGTCTAGTTTTTATGTGAAGATATTTCCTTTTCCACCACAGGCCTCAAAGCTCTCCAAATGTCCACTTGCAGATTCCACAAAAAGAGTGTTACAAAGCTGTTCTATCAAAAGAAAGCTTCAACTCTGTGAGTTGAATGAACACATCACAAAGTAGTTTCTGAGAATGCTTCTGTCACGATTTTATATGAAGATATTTACTTTTCCACCACAGGCCTCAAAGTGCTCCAAATGTCCACTAGCAGATTGTACAAAAAGAGTGCTTCAAAACTGTTCTATCAAAAGGTATGTTCAACTCTGTGAGTTGAATGCACACAACACAAAGAAGTTTCTGAGAATGCTTCTGTCTAGTTTTTATGTGAAGATATTCCCGTTTCCAACGAAGGCCTCAAAGTCCTCAAATTGCTCTGTATATCCAATTGTAGATTCTACGAAAAGAGTGTTTCAAAACTGATCTATCAAAAGAAAGTTTCAACTCTGTTGGTTGAATGTGCACATCATTAAGTACTTTCGAAGAATGCTTCTGTCTAGTTTTTATATGAAGATATTTTCTTTTCTTCCATAGACCTCAAAGCACACCATATATCAACTTGCAGATTCCACAAAAAGAGTGTTTCAACACTGCTCTATCAAACGAAAGTTTCAACTCTGTGAGTTGAGTGCACACATCACAAAAAAGTTTCTGAGAATGCTTCTGTCTAATTTTTAGGTGAAGTTATTCCCGTTTCAACCATAAGCCTCAAAGCCCTCCAAATGTCCACTTGCAGTTTCTACAAAAATAGTGTTTCAAATCTGCTTTATCAAAAGGAAGGTTCAACTATGTGAGTTGAATGCACACATCACAAAGAAGTTTCTGAGAATGCTTCTGTCTAGTTTTTATGTGACGATATTCCCGTTTCCACCAAAGGCCGCAAAGCACTCAATATATCCACTTGAAGATTCTACAAAAAGAGTGTTTCAAAACTGCTCTAACAAAAGGAAGCTTCAACTCTGTGTGTTGAATGCACAAATAACGACGAAGTTACTGAGCATTCTTCTCTCTAGTTTTCAGGTGATGATATTCCCGTTTCCAACGAAGGACTCAAAGTGGTCCAAATATCAACTTGCAGATGCTACAAAAAGAGTGTTTTAATACTACTCTATTAAAAGAAAGGTTGGACACTGTGAGTTGAATGCTCACATCACAAAGAACTTTCTGAGAATGGTTGTGTCTAATTTTATGGAAAGATATTGCCCTTTCCAATGAAAGCCTCAAACCTGCCCAAATATCCACTTGCAGATATTACAAAAAGAGTGTTTCAGAACTGCTCTATGAGAAGGTGTGTTCAAATGTGTGAGTTGAATGCACACATCACAAAGAAGTTTCTAAGAATGTTTCTGTTTAGCTTTTATGTGAAGATATTTCCTTGTCCACCATAGGCCTCAAAGCTCTCCAAATGTCCACTTGCAGATTCCACAAACAGAGTGTTACAAAGCTGTTCTATCAAAATAAAGCTTCAACTCTGTGAGTTGAATGAACACATCACAAAGTAGTTTCTGAGAATGCTTCTGTCTCGATTTTATATGACGATATTTACTTTTCCACCACAGGCCTCAAAATGTTCCAAATGTCCACTTGCAGATCCTAGAAAAAGAGTGCTTCAAAACTGTTCTATTAAAAGGTATGTTCAACTCTGTGAGTTGAATGCATACATCACAAAGAAGTTCCTGAGAAGGCTTCTGTCTAGTTTTTATGTCAAGATATTCCCGTTTCCAACGAAGGCCACAAAATGTCCCAAATATCAACTTGCAGATTATACAAAACGAGTGTTTCAAAACTGCTCTATCAAAAGAAAGGTTCAACTCTGTGAGTTGAATGCACACATGGCCAACTGCTTCTGTCTAGTTTTTATATGAAGATATTTCCTTTTCTACCAAAGGCCTCAAAGCTCTCTATATATCCACTTGCAGATACTACAAAAAGAGTGTTTCAAAACCGCTCTATGAAAAGGTGAGTTCAAATGTGTGAGTTGAATGCACACATCACAAAGAAGTTTCTGAGAATGCTTCTGTCTAGTTTTCATGTGAATATATTTCCCTTTCCACCATAGGCCTCAAAGTCCTCCAAATGGCCACTTGCAGATTCTACAAAAAGAGTGTTTCCAAGCTGCTCTATCAAAAGAAAGGTTCAACACTGTGAGTTGAATGCACACATCACAAAGTGGTTTCTGAGAATGCTTCTGTCTAGTTTTTTTGTGAAGATATTCCCATTTCCAACAAAAGCCTCAAAGCTATCCAAATATCAGCTTGCAGATTATACAAAACGAGTGTTTCAAAACTGCTCTATCAAAAGAAAGGTTCAGCTCTTGAGTTGAATGCACACATCACCAAATGCTTCTGTCTAGTTTTGATACGAAGATATTTCCTTTTCTACCTAAGGCCTCAAAGCACTCTACATACCCACTTGCAGATTGTACAAAAAGAGTGTTTCAAAACTTCTCTATCAAAAGAAAGGTTTAACTCTTTGAGTTGAGTGCGTGCATCACAAAGAAGTTTCTGAAAATGTTTCTGTCAACTTTTTATGTTAAGATATTCCCATTGCCACCAAATGCCTCAAAGTGCTCCGTATATCCACTTGCAGATTCTACGAAAAGAATGTTTCAAAACTGCTCTATCAAAAGAAAGTTTCAACGTTGTGAGTTGAATGTACACATCGTTAATTAGTGTCTGATAGTGCTTCTGTCTAGTTTTTATATGAAGATATTTCCTTTTCTTCCATAGACCACATAGTGCTTCATATATCCACATGCAGATTCTACAAAAAGAGTGTTTCAACACTGCTCTATCAAAGGAAGGTTCAAATCTGTGAGTTGAATGAAGACATCACATAGTAGTTTCTGAGAATGCTTCTGTCTAGTTTTTATATGAAGATATTTCATTTTCTACCATAGGCCTCAAATCGCTCCATATATCCACTTGCAGGTTCTAAAAAAGAGTGTTCCACAACTGCTCTATCAAAAGGAAGGTTCAACTATGTGAGTTGAATGGACACATCACAAAGAAGTTTCTGAGAATGCTTCTGTCTAGTTTTTAGGTGAAGATATTCCCGTTTCAAAAGTAAGCCTCAAAGCCCTCCAATATCCACTTGCAGAATCTACAAAAAGAGTGTTTCAAAACTGTTCTATCTAAAGGAAGGTTCAACTCTGTGAGCTGAATGCACACATCACAAAGAAGTTTCTGAGAATGCTTCTGTCTAGTTTTTAGGTGAAGATATTCCTGTTTCAACCATAGGCCTCAAAGCCCTCCAAATATTCACTTGCAGATTCTACAAAAATAGTGTTTCAAAACTGCTCTATCAAAACAAAAGTTCAACTCTGTGAGCTGAAGGCACACATCACAAAGAAGTTTCTGAGAATGCTTCTGTCTAGTTTTTAAGTGAAGATATTCCCCTTGCCATCGTAGGCCTCAATACCCTCCAAACATCCACTAGCAGATTCTACAAAAAGAGTGTTTCAGATCTGCTCTATCAAAAGAACGGTTCAACTCTGTGAGTTAAGTGCACACATCACAAAGAAGTTTCTGAGAATGCTTCTGTCTAGTTTTTATGTGAAGATAATCCTGTTTCCACTGAAGGCCTCAAAGGGCTCCATATATCCACTTGCAGATCCTTCAAAAAGAATGTTTGCAAACTGCTCTATCAAAAGAAAGTTTGAACTCTGTGAGTTGAATGCACACATCAAAAAGTAGTTTCTGAGAATGATTCTGTCTAGTTTTTATATGAAGATATTTCTTTTCCACCACAGGCCTCAAAGTGCTCCAAATGTCCACTTGCAGATTATACAAAAAGAGTGTTTCAAAACTGCTCTATCAAAAGAAAGGTTCAACTCTGTGAGTTGAAAGCACACATCACAAATAGTTTCTTAGAATGCTTCTGTCTACTTATTATATGAAGATATTTCCTTTTCTTCCATAGGCCTCAAAGTGCTCCATGTATCCACTTGCAGATTCTACAAAACTAGTGTTTAAAAACTGCTCTATCAAAAGAAAGGTTCAGCTCTGAGAGTTGAATGCCCACATCAGTAAGTAGTTTCTAAGAATGCTTCTGTCTAGTTTTTATATGAAGATATTTCCTTTTCTTCCATAAGCCTCAAAGCGATCCATATATCCACTTGCAGATTCTAAAAAAAGATTGTTTCATAATTGCTCTATCAAAAGGAAGTTTCAACTCTGTGAGCTGAATGCACACATCTCAAAGAAGTTTCTGAGAATGGTTTTGTCTAGTTTTTATGTGAAGATATTCCCCTTTCCGCCGAAGTCTTCAAAGCACTCAATATATCCACTTGAAGATTTTACAAAAAGACCGTTTCCAAACTGTTCTATCAAAAGGAAGCTTCAACTCTGTGTGTTCAATGAAAAAATCACAAAGAAGTTACTGCGAATGCTTCTCTCTAGTTTTCAGGTGGTGATATTCCCATTTCCAAAGAAGGCCTAAAAGCGGTCCAAATATCAACTTGCAGATGCTATTAAAAGGGTGTTTCAAAGATACTCTATGAAACGAAATGTTCAACAATGAGTGTTTAATGTTCCCATCACAAAGAAGTTTCTGAGACTGGTTCTGTCTAATTTTATGTGAAGATATTGCCATTTCCAATGAAAGCCTCAAACCGGCCCAAATATCCAGTTGCAGATATTACAAAAAGAGTGTTTCAAAACAGCTCTATGAAAAGGCGTGTTCAAATGTGTGAGTTGAATGCACACATCACAAAGAAGTTTCTGAGAATGTTTCTGTCTGGTTTTTATGTGAAGATATTTCCTTTTCCACCATAGGCCTCAAAGCTCTCCAAATGGCCACTTGCAGATTCTACAAAAAGAGCTTTTCAAAACTGCTCTATCGAATAGAAGGTTCAACTCTGTGTGTTGAATGCACACAACACAAAGAAGTTTTTGAGAATGCTTCTGTCTAGTTTTTAGGTGAAGATATTCCCGTTTCCACAGGAGGCCTCAAAACCCTCCAAATATCCTCTTGCATATTCTACAAAAAGAGTGTTTCAAAACTGCTCTATCAAAAGAAAGGTTCAACTCTGTTTGTTGAGTGTGCACATCAAAAAGAAATTGCTAAGAATGTTTTCTGTCTAGTATTTATGTGAAGATATTCCCGTTTCCACTGAAGGCCTCAAAGCGCTCCATATATCCACTTGCAGATTCTATAAAAAGAGTGTTTCAGAACTGCTCTATCAAAGAAAGGTTCAACTCTGTGAGTTGAATGCACACATCACTAAGTAGTTCCTGAGAATGCTTCTGTCTATTTTTTGTATGAAGGTATTTCCTTGTCTACCATAGGCCTCAAAGTGCTCCATATATCCACCTGCAGATTCTAAAAAAAGAATGTTTCAAAACTGCTGTATCAAAAGAAATGTTCAACTCTGTGAGCTGAATGCACACAACAAAAAGAAGTTTCTGAGAAACCTTCTGTGTAGTTTTTATGTGAACGTATTTCCTTTTCCAACATAGGTTTCAAAGGGAACAAAATATCCACTTGCAGATTCTACAAAGGAGTGTTTGAAAAGAGCTGTATCAAAAGAAATGTTCAACTCTCTGAGTTGAATGCACACATCACAAAGAAGTGTCTGAGAATGCTTCTGTCTAGTTTTTATGTGAAGATATTTCGTTTTCCAACATAGACCTCACAGGGAACAAAATATCCACCTGCAGATTCTCCAAAAAGAGTGTTTCAAACTGCTCTATCAAAAGAAAGGTTCAACTCTGTGAGTTGAATGCACACATTACAATCAAGTTTCTGAGAATGCTTCTGTCTAGTTATTATGTGAAGATAATTCCTTTTCCATCATAGGCCTCAAAGGGCTCAAAATGCCCATTTGCAGATTATACAAAAAGAGTGTTTCAAAACAGCTGTATCAAAGGAAAGATCCATTTTTGTGAGTTGAATGTGCACATCACAAAAGAGTTTCTGAGAATGCTTCTCTCTAGTTTTTATGTGAAGATATTTCCTTTTCCACCATAGGCCTCAAAGCGCTCCAAATATCAACTTGCAGATTGGACAAAGAGAGTGTTTCAAAACTGCTCTATCAAAAGAAAGGTTCAACTCTGTGAGTTGAATGCACACATCACAAAAAAGTTTCTGAGAATGCTTCTGTCTTTTTTTATGTGAAGATATTTCTTTTTCCAACATAGACCTCAAAGGGAACAAACTATCCCCTTGCAGATTCTACCAAAATGGTGTTTCACAACTGCTGTGTCAAAAGAAATGTTCAAATCTGTGAGTTGAATGTACCAATTACAAGGAAGTTTCTGAGAATGTTTCTGTCTTGTTTTTATATGAAGTTATTTCCTATAGGACTCAAAGTGCTCCAAATATCCACTTCCATGTTCTACAAAATGAGTGTTTCAAAACTGCTCTATCAAGAGAAAGTTTCAACTCCTTGAGATGAATGCACACATCACAAAGAAGTTTCTGAGAATGCTTCTGTCTATTTTTGATGTGAAGATATTTTCTTTTCCAACATAGGCCTCAAAGGGAACCAAATATCCACTTGCAGATTCTACAAAACGAGTGTTTGACAACTCCTCTATCCTACCCATGTGCATGGAATGTTCTTCAATTTGTTTGTATCCTCTTTTATTTCCTTGAGCAGTGGTTTGTAGTTCTCCTTGAAGAGGTCCTTCACCTCCCTTGTATTTTATTCTCTTTGAAGCAACTATGAATGGGAGTTCACTCATGATTTGGCTCTCTGTTTGTCTGTTTTTGGTGTGTAAGAATGCTTGTGATTTTTTTTACATTGATTTTGTGTCCTGTGACTTTGCTGAAGTTGCTTTTCAGCTTAAGGAGATTTTGGGCTGAGACAGTGGGGTTTTCTAGATATACAATCATGTCGTCTGCAAACAGGGACAATTTGACGTCCTCTTTTCCTAATTGGATACCCTTTATTTCCTTCTCCTGCCTAATTGCCCTGGCCAGAACTTTCAACACTGTGTTGAATGGGAGTGGGTAGGAAGAATCAATATCGTGAAAATGGCCATAAGGCCCAGGGTAATTTACAGATTCAATGCCATCCCCATCAAGCTACCAAAGACTTTCTTCACAGAATTGAAAAAAACTACTTTAAAGTTCATATAGAACCAAAAAAGAGCCCACATCACCAAGTCAACCCTAAGCCAAAAGAACAAAGCTGGAGGCATCACACTACCTGACTTCAAACTATACTACAAGGCTACAGTAACCAAAACAGCATGGTACTGGTACCAAAACAGAGATAGAGATCAATGGAACAGAACAGAGCTCTCAGAAATAATGCCACATGTCTACAACTATCTGATCTTTGACAAACATGAGAAAAAGAAGCAATGGGAAAGGATTCCCTATTTAATAAATGGTGCTGGAAAAACTGGCTAGCCATATGTAGAAAGCTGAAAGTGGATCCCTTCCTTACACCTTATACAAAAATCAATTCAAGATGGATTAAAGACTTAAACATTAGACTTAAAACCATAAAAACCCTAGAAGAAAACATAGTCATTACCATTCAGGACATAGGGATGGCCAAGGACTTCATGTCTAAAACTCCAAAAGCAATGACAACCAAAGCCAAAATTGACAAATGGGATCTAATTAAACTAAAGAACTTCTGCAGAGCAAAAGAAACTACCATCAGAGTGAACAGGCAACCTACAACATGGGAGAAAATTTTCGCAACCTATTCATCTGACAAAGGACTAATATCCAGAATCTACAATGAACTCAAACAAATTTACAAGAAAAAAACAAACAACCCCATCAAAACGTGGGTGAAGGACATGAACAGACACTTCTCAAAAGAAGACATATATGCAGCCAAAACACACATGAAAAAATGCTCATCATCACTGGCCATCAGAGAAATGCAAATCAAAACCACAATCAGATACCATCTCACACCAGTTAGACTGGCAATCATTAAAAATCAGGAAAAAACAGGTGCTGGAGAGGATGTGAAGAAATAGGAACACTTTTACACTGTTGGTGGGACTGTAAACTAGTTCAACAATTGTGGAAGTCAGTGTGGCGATTCCTCAGGGATCTAGAACTAGAAATACCATTTGACCCAGCCATCCCATTACTGAGTATATACCCAAAGGACTATAAATCATGCTGCTATAAAGACACATGCACACGTATGTTTTCTGTGGCATTATTCACAACAGCAAAGACTTGGAACCAACCCAAATATCCGACAATGATAGACTGGATATAGAAAATGTGGCACATATACACCATGGAATACTATGCAGCCATAAAAAATGACGAGTTCACGTCCTTTGTAGGGACATGGATGAAATTGGGAATCATCATTCTCAGTAAACTATCACAAGAACAAAAAACCAAACACAGCATATTCTCACTCATAGGTGGGAACTGAACAATGAGAACACATGGACACAGGAAGGGGATCATCACACTCTGGGGACAGTTGTGGGGTGGAGGAAGGGGGGAGGGATAGCACTGGGGGATATACCTAATGATAGATGACGAGTAAGTGGGTGCAGAGCACCAGCATGGCACTTGTATACATATGTAACTAACCTGCACGTTGTGCACATGCACCCTAAAACTTAAAGTTTAATACTAATTAAAAAGGAAAAAAAGAAAAGAGAAACTGCTCTATCAAAAGAAATGTTCAACTCTGTCAGTTGAATGCAAAAATCACAAAGAAGTTTTGGAGAATGTTTCTGTCTATCTTTTATGTGTAGATATATCCGTTTCCACCATAGGCCTCAAAGCGCTACACATATCCACTTGCAGATTTTACAAAAAGAGTGTTTCAAAACTGCTCTATCAAAAGAAAGGTTAAACACTGTGAGTTGAAAGCAGACATCACAAAGAAGTTTCTGAGTATGTTTCTGTCTAGTTTTTTTGCGAAGATATTGCCTTTTCCAGCATAGGCTTCAAACCTTCCAAATATCAACTTGCAGATTCTACAAAAAGAGTGTTTCAAAACTGCTCTATCAAAAGAAAAGTTCAACTCTGAGAGTTGAATGCACACATCACAAAGAAGTTTCTGAGAATACTTCGATCTTGTTTCTATGTGAATATATTTCGTTTTCCAACATAGGCCTCAAAGTGAACAAAATATCCATTTGCAGATTCTTCAAAAAGAGTGTTTCAAAACTGCTCTATCTAGGAAGGCGATGCTAATGGGTATTGCATAGGTGTAAGTAGAAAAATGTTGTATTTAAGAGAATCCCACAAGCTTGGTATACGGCAGAAAATAAATAGATGTGACATGAATAAGTAGTTTATTACATTTGTATGCTACCTGCGGACTAGAGGAAGCAAGAAACACAGCCACTATGCTTGATTAGCATTATAGAGATGGTACAATGATGGGTGTCAGAAGCTGGGGGGAGGAAGAAATGGGGAAGTATTGTTTAATGGGTATAGAGTTTCAGTTTTACAAGATGAAACGAATTATAGAGATGGATGGTAGGGACGGCTGCACAATGTTATGACTATATTTAGTACCACTGAACTGTACACTTAAAATGGTTAACAGAGTACATTTTATGTTATGTGTATTTTACCACAATAAAAAAATAAAATACCTTAGGAACATTTTCATGAAAAAGCCCACATAAAATTCATTTTAATGCACGTGTTTATGCATAGCTTTCTATTTTTCTCTTTTCTCTTTATATTCCAAATTCTAATCAGAGAAGGGAATCCCCTCTGTACCTCCAGGATATTCAGTAAAGACCACTGGAGGTTCATGCCCTAGTGACAGTGCTCATTTAGCTCCAAATTACAGATGGCTCTAGACTAACTCAACAAAGTTTAAAGAGAAGATTTAAAACAACAACAGACAAATACTCATCCTGAAGTTACTGAATTCCCTGCCAAAACATTGTTCAAAGGTAGCCAATGAAATGTAGATATTCAATAGCGTAACATCAACATACCCAAAAAAACCTCTGACATGCAAAGAAGCCGTAAGATATATATAATTAAGATATATATTAACAGGATAAAAATAAGTCATTTATAAATGACAGAAAAGAGGAAAATTTCAAGGTCCTTAAATATATTTTATAAATACATATAGATAAATACATATATATGTCAAGGTACTTAAATGAAAATTGAACATAGGAGAAAAAGAGAAGTTATAAAATGAAAAATGTGACATGTATAGATGAAAAATAAATATTTGAAATAAAAATTCCATGAGATAGAACAAGTAATGGGTTTTATCCTAACATCAGAAAATTTATAGAAAAAAATTGAAGCTT